>NC_000010.11:17888787-18040303 GCF_000001405.40 Homo sapiens
TTGGTGCTGTCCACTTTAACTATGTTCTTACTGATTTTTTGCCTGCTGGATCTGTCTATTTTTGATAGAAGAGTATTGAAGTCTCCAGTCCTAATCATGGATTTATCTATTTATCTTTGCAGTTCTATCAGTTCTCACTTTACATATGTTGATGCTCTATTGTTAGCCACATACACAGTAGAGACTGTTATGTCTTGGTGGAGAATTGTCCGCTAGATCATTACGTAATGTTCCTCTTTACCTCTGGTAACTTTCCTTGCCCTATAGTCTGCTCTGTCTGAAATTAATATAGCTGGTCTAGCTTTCTTTTGATTAGTGTTAGTGTAGCGTATCTTTCTCCATTTTTCTCCACTTTTAACTTATGTGTATCTTTATATTTAAAGTGAATTTCTTATACCAATATCTGAGTCTTTGTCTATTAATTTGTGTAGTTAGACCATTAACATTTAAAATGATTGTTGATGTAGCTGGGTTAACATCTATCATATTTGCTATTGTTTTCTGTTTTTATTCTGTATTTCATTTTTTTGTCTTCCACTCTTTCTTGCCTTCTCTGGTTTTACTTCAATATTTTGTATGATTTTATTTGTTCTCCACTCCTAGCATACCAATTATACTTTAAGAAAGCTTTTTTCTTTTCTTTTTTCTTTTTATTACAAATAAAGGCGGGGTCTTTCTGTGTTACCCAGGCTGGTCTTGAACTCTTGGGCTCGGGCAATCCTCCTACCTTGGCCTCCCAAAGTACTGGGATTACAGGCATGAGCCACCACTCTTGGCCTAAAACAAAAACAGAAACAAACTTTCTTTAGTGGTTGCTCTTGAGTTTGCAGTATATATTTACAACTAATCCAAGTCCTTTTTCAAACAGCACATAAGAAAGCATCTCCTATTTCTTCCTCCTTTCCCGTGTAACATTGCTATAATTCATTTCACTTATCCATAAGCTATTATCACCAAATACGTTATCACCAAATACATTGCTGTCCACTTTTTACATTAGAGTCCTTAGTATATTATTCATAGTTGTTTAACAACAACTATAGTTGTTTGAAGAGACCGGTATCTGTTAGATGAATTCAGAATAAGGAAAATGAAAAATTCTATTTTTCTTTCATTTATTCCTTCTCTAATGCTTTTCATTTATCTATATAGACCTGAGTTTCTGACATATATAATTTTCCTTCTTTTTTCCTTTTAACATTTCTTTCAAGCTAAGTTTACAGGCAACAAATTTTCTCAATGTTTGTTTGTCTGAGAAAGTCTTTGTTTTCTTTTCACTTCTTAAGGACAATTTCACTGGAGACAGAATTCTAGGTTGGTGGGTTTTTTCTTTCAGCACTTTAAATATTGCATTCCACTCTCTTCTTGCTTGCGTGGTTTCTGAAAAGAAATCCAACGTAATTACTATTCTTGCTTCTTTAGAGATAAGATTTTTTTTTTCGTCTGGCTTCTTTCAAGATTTTCTCTTCATCTTTGATTTTCTGCAGTTTGAGTGTGATGTGTTTAGATGTTGTATCTTAGTATTTATCCTGTCTGATGTTCTCTGAGCTTCCTGGATCTGTGATTTGCTGTCAGTCGTTAATTTTGGGAAATTCTAAGTCATTATTGCTTCAAATTATACTTCTTCTGTTCCTTTCTCGTTTCCTTGGCCACACCCAGTGAGCCTATCAGAGATAGTCTTCATTTCTCTTAAGGTGTTTTTGATGTCTAGAATTTCCTTTTGATCCTTTCTTAGCATTTTCATCTCTCTGCTTACGTTACCTACCCAGTCTTGCTTGTTGTCCACTTTTTACATTAGAGCCCTTAGCATATTATTCATAGTTGTTTAAATTTTTGATAATTCCACTGTCTTTGTCACATCTGTGTCTGCTTATTATGCTTGCTCTTCGCTTCAAACTGTGTGTGTGTTTTTAAAAAATCTTTTAGTGTGTCTTATATTTTTATGTTGAAAGCTGGGTATATATTACAGTGCAGGGGTCTGCAACCCGTGGGCCACAGATGGGTACCAATCCATGGCCTGTTAGGAACTGAGCCTCACAGCAGGAGGCGGGTGGCAGGCGAGTGAGCTAAGCTTCATCTATATTTACAGCCGTTCCTCGTCACTCGCATCACTGCCTGAGCTCCGCCTCCTGTCAGATCAGCAGTGGCATTAGATTCTCATAGAAACGTGAACCCTACTGTGAACTGTGCATGCGTGGGATCTAGGTTGCACGCTCCTTATGAGAATTTAATGTCTGATGATCTGTCCCTGTCTCCCATTACCCCCAGATGGGACCATCTAGTTGCAGGAAAACAAGCTCAGGGCTCCCACTGATTCTGCGTGATGGTGAGTTGTATCACTAGTTTTATTTATTTATTTATTTATTTATTTATTTATTTATTTATTTATTTATTTTTGAGATGGAGTCTCACTCTGTTGCCCAGGCTGGAGTGCAGTGGCGCGATCTCGGCTCACTACAAGCACCGCCTCCCGGGTTCACGCCATTCTCCTGCCTCATCCTCCCGAGTAGCTGGGACTACAGGCGCCCGCCACCACTCCTGGCTAATTTTTTATATTTTTACTAGAGACGGGGTTTCACTGTGTTAGGCAGGATGCTCTCGACCTCCTGACCTCGTGATCTGCCCGCCTCGGCCTCCCGAAGTGCTGGGATTACAGGCGTGAGCCATTGCGCCCGGTGCTCATTATTTTATTACATATTACAGTGTAATAATAACAGCAGTAAAGTGCATAATAAGCGTAATGCGTTTGAATCATCTCGAAACCACCCTCCACCCCAGTCTGTGGAAAGTTTGTCTTCCATGAAACTGGTCCCTGGTGCCAAAAAGGTTGGGAACTGCTGACGTAGTGGATAAAGGGAACAGAGGTAAATAGACATTTAGTGTGAGGTTTCATGTTTACTTAGCTACGAATTAGGCTGTGTTTGCTGTTTGCTGTCACTTTAGGTGTCAGAGGTTAAAATCTCTGGTGTCCTTGTTTCTGTCTCTCCTGTTGTCTTTGGGTTCTCCTAAAGACTTCTGAAATAATGTCAGAGAGGCACAGTTCTTCGGCTGTATCTGCCTGTTATCATACGGGAGCCCCAAGGATATGGTGGTAAGATATTGGGGAGGGGAAGTATTTCGTAGTCCTATGATGGGGACTCTGACTTTTAGGGAATCTGTGCTGTGACCTTCGAAAGTGCTTCTCGGTTTTGTTTTGTTGCTTTTTCATTTTGGGTGAGACAGGAAAGCTAGAGAGGCTGGAGTTGAGTATTTCTTTTCTCCTAGGTTAGTTAACGTGTGGTGAAACCGCAGTTAGTTAGGCACTGGTAAACTTGTTGCTCTTGAGTGCTGGTCTTATTAAGAACAGAATGAATGCTCTGTCGTATTTTAAAATGGCTCTTTTCCCACCTCTCCTGTTGGAAGCAAGAGGAAATTTTTCTCCAGTCTGCACTGTAAGAATCTGGTAGGACTCATGGAAGGAAAACTCAAAAAACTCTGCAGTCTCTCTAGGACTGCCTCCCCATGCACTCCTCTGCCAACAGTTTTTAATTTTCAAACTTGTCCACACTGAACCTCCAGCAATGTGTCAATGACATTTAGTATCTCCTACCTCAATACTTGTTCCCTTTTTCTGCTCCTGGGCTTCTGCTCTGGTCAATTCTTATTCCCTATATCCATCAGTCCGTTTCTCCAATCTGGGGGGCAGCTGTTTGTCTTGTGACCTCCATTTTCCAATGCATTTAAGAGAAGTTGTTGATGTTCAGCTTTTCTCGCCATTTTCTTGCATTGTGGTTGGGAGTGACAACTTCCAAGCTCCTTACATATCCAACTAGAGACTTAAGTTCTCAGCATTTTCTTTAAGTGTGCTCCTTTTTTTTGTTTTGCTTAAATTTACTTTAAAAGAAAACTTCTTTTTAGAAGAAAGTAGAAAATTGATATAGTCACCATAAATAGAAGATAACTGGCCAGGCGTGGTGGCTCATGCCTGTAATCCCAGCACTTTGGGAGGCTGAGGTGGGCAGTTCACGAGGTCAAGAGATCGAGACCATCCTGGCCAACATGGTGAAACCCCATCTCTACTAAAAGTACAAAAATTAGCTGGGCGTGGTGGCACACGCCTGTAGTCCCAGCTACTCGGGAGGCCGAGGCAGAAGAATTGCTTGAACCCAGGAGGCAGAGGTTGCAGTGAGCCAGGATTGCGCCACTGCAATCCAGCCTGGCGACAGAGCGAGACTCCATCTAGGAAAAAAAAAAAAAAAATAGAAGATAACTGTGAAAATAAACACAGTGAAATTTGGGGGCTCCAGCAAAAAAGCAAAGTGATTTGACCAGGTCTCTTGTCTTTATTTCTGGCTTCCCTCAGCCCTTCCTTCCCTCCCTCCCTCCCTCCCTTTCTTCCTTCCTTCCTTCCCAAGGTCTTGTTCTCTCAGCTTGGCTGGAGTGCAGTGGTATGGTCATAGCTCACTGCAGCCTCAACCTCCCAGGCTCAAGCGATCCTCCCACCTCAGTCTCCTGAGTAGCTGAGACCACAGGCATGCACCACCATGCCCAGCTAATTTTGTTTATTTTTTGTAGAGTTGAGGTCTCCCTATGTTGCCCAGGCTGGTCTTGAACTCCCAGGCTCAAGCGATCTTCTAGCCTTGGCCTCTCAAAGTGCTGGGATTACAGGTGTGAGCCACTGTGCCTGGCCTTCTCTTACTTTAAATGAGCAAAATGCCATATTTCAAATTAAAGTGTAGATAGTACATTGAAATGGGGCAGGCAGCATGTGTTTCTCTTACCTCTACTCCAACAGGACCAGGTATGAGGATTAGAATGGAAATAATGGCATTTCAGAAAAAAAAATCTGAGATATATTTAGTACATAAAGGAAAGAAGGATTTGGAATGGCAAACACATTCACAACCAAACAAATATAATATTGTTCCAGTCCTGGCATACTCCCCTGTAAGACTATAAATAAGATGTGAAACTTTCTGGCTATACCAGCCACATACTATGAATCTATAATAATACTTTTATAAATTTAGCAATGAAATATATAGATCATGCTCATTTCCCTTTAAAAATATGGTACCTACTTTTGGGTTTGAATACTGGTAATTAGTATGGAGAGGATACTGTGTTCTCCTAGTTTCTTTGATTTCTAAGTTTTTATAGTGTTGGATAAAAGGTCTGATAGCAAAATTTCTCAGTCCTGTCTCCAAAATTTATCCAAATCGGTTGGGTTTTCGATTCATATAGTGAGAGTTCAAATGTGGAGGATATGCATAGTAGGTAGAGTTGGGTAGAAAGTAATGATGGATTGAGCATATCTTAAGTTAGGACAATCTTAAAATTTGGAAATCAGGGATAATGAAAGATTTTTTTGCTTATTAATGAATTGATTTCAATAGTCGTTGATTCATGATTGTTTTCTTTTTCTTTCTCCATAAATATACAGGCTGACTGTGTTGTTATTATTGGAGGTGCATCAAATGAAGCAGGAAAATGGATGGATGATACCTGCGACAGTAAACGAGGCTACATATGCCAGACACGATCCGGTAAGTTCTACCAAACCTTACCTTCCTGAAAGAGCTGGGGTTTTTTTTTCCCCACTTTTTTCTTTCTTTCTTTCTTTCTTTCTTTTTTTTTTTTTTTTTTTTTTTGAGGCAGAGTCTCGCTCTGTCGCCCAGGCTGAAGTGCAGTGGTGTGATCTCAGATCACTGCAACTTCCGCCTCCCAGGTTTAAGCAATTCTCCTGCTTTAGCCTCCTGAGTAGCTGGGATTACAGGCACACACCACCACGCCTGGCTAATTTTTGTATTTTTTGTAGAGATGGGGTTTTCCATGTTGCCCAGGCTGGTCTTGAACTCCTGACCTCAGGTGATCTACCTGCCTCGGCCTCCCAAAGTGCTGGGATTACAGGAGTAAGCCACTGTGCCTGACCTCACTTTTATTTTATTTTATTTTACTTTAAGTTCCAGGATACATGTACAGAACATGCAGGTTTGTTATATAGGTATATGTGTGCCATGGTGTTTTGCTGCACTTATCAACCTATCACCTAGCCCCACATGCATTAGCTCTTTGTCCTGATGAACAGCTGTGTTTTTAAATGTACTTTAAAATATATAATCATGGTTGGGCACTGTGGCTCATGCCTGTAATCCCAGCACTTTTGAAGACTGAGGTGGGTGGATTGCTTGAGCCCCCGCATTTGAGACCAGCCTGGTTAACACAGTGAAATCCCATTTCTACAAAAAATACAAAAATTATTTTGTACTTTTACAAAATTATTTTATTTTTGTAGCTGGGACTACAGGTGTGGTGACTTATGCCTGTAGTCCCAGCTACCTGGGAGACTGAGGTGAGAGGATCACTTGTGCCAGAGAGGCTGAGGCTACAGTGAGCCATGATTGTGCTCCTCACTCCAGCCTGGGTGACAGAGTGAGACCCTTTGTCACAAAAATAAAAACAAAAACAAAAATAAAATAAAATAAAATATATGATCATTTCCTTGCATAGCAACAGGTTTGATTGTTGCTTTAATCCATGGAAGCCTATGACAGACAAAAAGGGTAATGTTTTCTATACTTAATTCATGAATCTGCTTTTTTTTTTTTAACCAGACAGTTTTGGGCAGACTAAACCTGTCACTAAAACTTTCTATTAGAAATTTGGGATATTTGCTTACCTGTACCTTTTTTAAATGTCAGAATAGGAATACCTCCCTTTAATTCATGTAATTTAAGAACTTTTGGCATAAAGCATCATTTGTGCCTCATTATTTGTCCTATATCTTGTGTGCCTTAAACATGTGGATATATGATCTGAGTTTCTTTTTTCATCTTAGGAAGCCAGAATATGGTTAAATGAAAACAACACAGTATGCAGATATTTGCTGTCAATTAAGATGGTGTTTATATACATTTTAGTTTCTAGAGAAACTAGAATAAAAATGCCTAGTTGACAGGGCAGGTGAGCCCCGAAATTGGGGCTTACCCCGGGAGGGTTCTTGGCTTCACCCAGGAAGGAATTTAAGGGCAAGCTGGTGGTGTTAACAACTTTTATTAAAGCAACAGTGCACAGCAGCAGCAGACATAGTGCTTCTTGTGGAGCAGAGCTTACGCCATAGGCAGTGAATTCTGCACTCATATTTATACCCACTTTTAATTACATGCAAATGAAGGGGCAGGTTATTCAAAAATTTTTGGAAAAGGAATGGTAACTTCTGGGGGCTGCCACAGCAGTGGTGGGTGTGCCTTATGGAGAGTTTCAGCCAGTCTTCAATCTGGTCTGGAGTGAGTCCTGCCTCCTACCTCATAGCTACACAAAAGGGTCAGAAATTTAAAAATAGATTAGACAAGAGGGTTGAAGGTGGTGAGGGTTGCTGTCATCCTGAGTAGAGTTCTTAAAGGATGGGTTTGTGTTGGAAGGTACTTACTCTCCCAGACCTAAGGAATTTTTCTATACTATTTTGGAAATCAGGGAACTAATGTCAACTCATGACAATGACTGAAAACCATCTAAGATACTTTCAGATGGTTGAGAAGTACTCCTGCAATCCTAACCTTTCTCAATCCAAAAGCCATCCCAGTGCATGTCATTTTTCTCTCTATACTACACTCTATAGCACCAGAATCTTAGGTCAGCAGTAATACCAAACCATGCCATCTTTGCCTCTGTTCTTTGGGACAAGAGGGGACACTCCTTCCAGGAGTGAATGGTGATTCACACGCTTATTTAAAAACTTCTCTTTCTTTTCCTTATACACATACATGATAGAATATGTTGCCACAAATAAAAATCATTTGCAAATTTTTAATGACTTAAGGAAAGATTCACAGTATTAAAGTGAAAAAAGGTAGCATATAAACTTTTATAAACTATAATTTATCACCAGGTGTGGTGTCTCATGCCTGTAATTCTAGCACTTTGAGAGGCTGAGGCAGGAGGGTTGCTTGAGGCCAGGAGTTCAAGATCAGCCTGAGCAACAGAACAAGACCCTGACTCTAAAATAAAATAAAATAAAATGAAATGAAATGAAACAAAAAAGTTGGCACTTCTGTAGTGAAGGACAAGGCCAATGGCAGGTCATGCAGGCATAAAGTGGAACACATTGGAGAAAAGGCCAGTATACACACTGGTAAACAAGGATATCTCGATCCCTAGACCAGAGTAAAGAACCAGATTGCAAATATTTTAGGTTTTGCAGGACATACAGTCTCTACTGCAAATAGTCAACTCTGCTGTGGTCACAGATGATCATAGGCAATACACAAACAAATGAATGTGGCTGTGTTCCAGTAAGACTTTATTTATGGACACAAATTTGAATTTCATGTAACATTTACATGTCATGAAATATTATTCTTCTTTGATTCTTCTCTATCCCCAACCATTTAAAAACTTTTTCAGCTCACAGGATACAAAGACAGACCACAGGTCAGATTTCATCCTCTGGCTATTATTTGCTGACTTCTAGGGCATCAGATAATACAGACAGAAACAAGCTCTTTTGGGAGTCTTGACATGAAGTGGCTCAGAGTACAGGGGGCACAATGCAGTGATTAGAAACACATGCTAGGAGCTTGAGGACAAAAGATCAGAAAGCTGAAGTGATTTGGCTTGTAGGGGCTCCAACCCCTAGGTCAGTTTGGATAAGATTATGGGAGGCTTTACCCATAGGCGAAGGGCATAGAAAATCATCAAGAGTAAAGCTTGATCTTGAGATCAAGGTTAAACGAACCAGGGACTTGTGTATGGCTGCATTCCAGAATCTACACCCGTTACCTGAATGTGCATTACTCACAAGTGAAGTCAAACAGATACAAACTCATGGATCAAGTAGAACAAATGAGGGAGGAAGAGAAAGACTTTTCTTGACTTTGACTTTTAACGTACATGGAAAAATAAAGATTAGCAATGACACAATCATCTATGTTCTTTAATTTGTGGGATTAAACTACGGCATTTCTTTCATCAAGATACCAGATTGGATTGAATTTGTCACATGTTTTGTTTGTTAGTTTAGAAACTTGATCATGTATTTGCCTTAATATTCTAAATATAGTTTGGAATTAATTTAATTTGATCAGGGATACTGATGAAAAAATGTTTGTTTTCTAGTGTGAAATGGCTTATAAAATATTTCTAACAGCTGAATGTTTGGAGTTATGCTACTTTGCTTATTTTTATGATAGATGAGATACACTTATCATTACTGATAAGGCTCAATTACTGTTTATTGATAATGCTAATGAAAATAATGTTTTTATCTAGACCCTTCCTTGACTAATCCTCCAGCAACGATTCAAACAGATGGCTTTGTTAAATATGGCAAAAGCAGCTATTCACTCATGAGACAAAAATTTCAATGGCATGAAGCGGAGACATACTGCAAGCTTCACAATTCCCTTATAGCCAGCATTCTGGATCCCTACAGTAATGCATTTGCGTGGCTGCAGATGGAAACATCTAATGAACGTGTGTGGATCGCCCTGAACAGTAACTTGGTAAGATGCTGGAAATATGTGCAACTTGACATGATCAGTGAATTATGGTTGAATATGATTATCTTTCTGTTTGTTCTGTTGAATACTCATTATGTGTAAGAGACTGTGCTAGGCAATGTGAATGATACTAACATCAACAAGATCCAATCTTTCAGGGACGTGATGCCTTTAAGGATCTGGCAAGCTAGTGATATGTGTCAGAAATCAAACTAAGAATTATCTGATGAATGTTAACTCTCCTATTGCATTAGACTATGAAAATTATATTCCAAATCTCAACAGTTTAATTTATTCGCTTATTGCTTCCAAGGTCATGATTGTAACTATGGCATGAGAATTAAGAAAGCAGGTTAGGGACATAGTTGCCAGTGATGGGGACAATTTTTTTTTGTTGTGGCAAGACGTTCTAGACTTGTTGTAGGTCCTGAGGTTGTGGAGCTCCCATCCATTTGTGAGAAATATTTCATTGCAGTCAGTTCCTTGTATTCCATAATAGACTAAGGTTGGCAAAGACTAGGGAAGAGGCAGAAAACTAAGAATGCTGATAGAGTTGCCAAATTATTCCTAAAATGAGTCTTCTCTGATGCCTAGTCATGCATCTGTCCTCCCTCTATTCATCCTTCTAGCTAGCCAACCAGCAAGCTTCCTAGTAGAAGTAGATATGACAGTCAGCAATTAAGATATAAGAAGTATCAAAGAGAGGCATATAGAAAGTGTCATGAGAAGAGAGAAAAGGGACCAGTTGGGCTAGTGGGGAGGACCAAGAAGGTTCCTCAGAAAAAGCCAAAGTTTATAGATATAGTCTAGGATGGTAGAACATAAGGAAGGAATATCAAGAAGACAAAAAAAAAAAGGAGATAAACTGGAGAGTAGATGAGTGTCAGATGTTATGAAGCTTCCAAGGCCATGATGCAGAGATAGAAATTTACAATTTATACAATGAGTATTTCCTAAGTAGGGAAGTGTGTATTTAAAAGTAAGTAGTTTCAGAATGATTTCTGTGATTAAATTTAGGCAAGACATTTTTACGTCGCTGTTGACTAAGTTTTTATAATTAAGTCATTTGATAAGTCATTTGTTTTCTTCTCACAGACATGTTCACGATTCTCTTATGAGTTTAAAGTAAGCTTTTATTTTTAGAAAGATTAAATAGTTTTTCATTGTGGCAATATTTATGACTACAACAGTATTATTATCTTCCTTATTTCTATAGAGTTAATGATTATACAAGCATTATTTGATTAAATATGGTATAATACTACAAAATTCTAATTTGAGATAACATACTTCTAATTTTTGTCACTGGATTTTTGGCAATTGGCTTCGTAAATTAAATAATGCAGTCAAAAGGGTGATAATTGCTTGAATCTTTGAAAAATTCAGCTACCTCTGATTAATATTATATATCATCTATTCTTAAACAATACCTGTAAAATCTCTATTAGACTGTTAAAAGGATATTATTGATAAATAATATTTTGATGTTTATCAATATTTTGTATGTGATCATAAATTTGTTTCACTAAATTTAATAAGAAATTAACTGTGCAGGCCAGGCACGGTGGCTCACGCCTGTAACCCCAGCAGTTTGGGAGGCTGAGGCAGGCAGATCACCTGAGGTCAGGAGTTCAAGACCAGCCTGGCAAACATGGTGAAAACCCGTCTCTACTAAAAAATACAAAAATTAGCCGGGCATGGTGGCAGTGCCTTAATCCCAGCTACTTGGGAGGCAGAGGCAGGAGAATCATTTGAACCCGGGAGGTGGAGGTTGCAGTGAGCCTAGATCGAGCCATTGCACTCAAGCCTGGGGGACAAGAGCGAGACTTCTCTCAAAAAAAAAAAAAAAAAAAGAAAGAAATTGACTGTGCAAGTAGACTAAAATGACTGGCTTTTTACATCATATATATGTGATGTCATATGGCCGAAAGACCACCTCACTAGAATATAGCTGAAAGACTGCCTCACTAGAAATCAAGAGACTAAGGCTTCTCTCTTCCATACCCTTACCTCTCTTCCATACCTCTCTTCCATGACCTTAGCTAAGCCGTTTACCATTGGTGCTGTTTCAACAACAGAATAATGAGAAGATATGAAGAGATGAGCATTTCTCTCAGGTGTCCATGAATTTAATGAAAATTACTTAATTTTTATTATAATTTCAATAATAATATAAGAAATATCTTATTTGTTATGAAGATAAAACTTCTCTTTTGCCCTGAAAACCTGCAAACAAGGGGAGTTTCACGGAATAAGAGATAAATTTTTTTTTATTAGTGTTTTTTGAAATAACTTCCAAGGATGTATTCCTGGGGATCTCTAAGAAATAACTGTTTCTAAGAAAGGCTGCATGTACTGAATTTGAGTTGACAGAAATGATTTATAGTGTTCTTTTTATTCTCAAATGTTCCAGGTTCTATGTCAAATCATGGTCTTAAATATACTTTGTATTCTTGAATTGGTTCTTTTAGTATTTTCTAAATGAAGCAAGGCTGCATGTTAATGCTTGTTTTTGTCGTTGCAGACTGATAATCAATACACTTGGACTGATAAGTGGAGGGTGAGGTACACTAACTGGGCTGCTGATGAGCCCAAATTGAAATCAGCATGTGTTTATCTGGATCTTGATGGCTACTGGAAGACAGCACATTGCAATGAAAGTTTTTACTTTCTCTGTAAAAGATCAGATGGTAATTGAATATATAAAAACAGTCAGGGGATCTGAAAATTTCTGAATAAGCTACTACATACCACTGTTGATATTATTAAACAGTAATGTGTCTTGGATAGCTAAGAATAATATAGAACATACTCCCTCACCTATCAAAAGACTATCTTTATAAACCAACATACATAGATCAAAATAATGGAGATAAACATCTCCCCAGGAAATTTTGCTTACTTTTGATGTTGACAACACATCTATATCAAAGGAATTTTATCAGAATACATGTAGATTCATCAGAGTCAATGATGGACACCATACTAGAATTCTAAATATAGCCTTTAGTTAATCCCAGGTGCTATTAATAGCTAAGAAAGGGTTGTAGGAATTAGGATCCCAGAAAAGGAAAACAGTGACTTAAAAAAGGAAAGTCACTTTACAAATTACTTTGTGGTGACTTTTAGAAAATTTATCTTTGGGCCGGGTGCGGTGGCTCACCCCTGTAATCCCAGCACTTCGGGAGGCCGAGGCGGGCAGATCACCTGAGGTCAGGAGGTTGAGACCAGCTTGGCCAACATGGTGAAACCCCTTCTCTACTAAAAATACAAAAACTAGCTGGGTCTGGTGGCAGGCACCTGTAATCCCAGCTACTCGGGAGGCTGAGGCAGGAGAATCACTTGAATCCGGGAGGCAGAGGTTGCGGTGAGACAAGATCGCGCCATTGTACTCCAGCCTGGGGGACAGGAGCAAGACTTCGTCTCAAAAAAAAAAAAATTATCTTTGTAGGTATCTATAGATCGATTGTCTTAACTATGAGTGTAACTGACTGCCGCTATACCATAGCACATTCTATTGAAATATATTTAAAGTGGAAAACATTGATAAAAGGAAACCCAATAATAAATATGGTGATCCAAATGATAACCATTGGAAGATTTTTTAAAATAATGATCAATGATCAGTTTTTGTAGCTGCTAATGTATGATGCTACACACTACAGAAACTTCAGGTTTTGCTTTATTTAAAATGTGTTTTTATTAACAGAAATCCCTGCTACTGAACCCCCACAACTGCCTGGCAGATGCCCGGAGTCAGATCACACAGCATGGATTCCTTTCCATGGTCACTGTTACTATATTGAGTCCTCATATACAAGAAACTGGGGCCAAGCTTCTCTGGAATGTCTTCGAATGGGTGAGTGCCACATTTCCTGAAGGAAAACTCCATAATCATCTATTCTGGGGTCCACTGACACTATACATGAAATATACAAAGAATGTAAAAATACCTGTTTATATTTTTAATGATTTATTTTATAACAGAATGGCCAATATCATGCTTCCCAAATGTAATCTCTAAGTTTGTAGCCTCAAATTTTAGAGAATTTAGAGAATTCGGGTAGAAAACAGCGTATTCTAAATGGTTTCTTCCTTTCAGACTTCATGTTGTAAATTGTTAGGATTCTCATCCTCAGTTATTCCAAGTGTTGTACTCACCTCTTATCACTGGTAAGCTGAAGTTTTACAAGTGCCCAGGAACTGTTTTGTTGTACCATTAATAGAAAAGTATTTCTATTTATTGTTTTTGTGAAGACAAATAAAACTCAAATAGACACCACAAAGATGAATGATTTTTCCACCTGAAGTGAAAAATGTCAAATAAAGTTTATTTTAAGGGTACATTTAAAAGCCACTTAGTTAAATCCCGTTAAATATTTTACTGAATTATATTTACTTCATGTTTTTTATGCCCTAACTCAAGAGTTCTCCATCCAACAGTGGTACGCACAGTTTATAACCTCATTTTCTCCACGTTCTTTCAAAAGTCAACCTGACTTTTGACTTTAAATTCTGAGTGAGATGAAGTTTGCTTTAGCTTTGTACAGTGGCAGTATCTTAGCCGATGAGGTTTATCCGAGGCACGATTATTGCTAATTGAAGTTTGCTTTGTCAGTTTTTGATTCATGTACTTTGGGGCCCTGTTGTTAGGTACATATTCGTCTACACTCATTACATCTTCTTGATGTATTAAAAATTTTTTTCCTATGAAATGTCTTTATTGTCTCTAGTACTAATGTTTATCTAAAAGTCTATTTTATCTAATATTTGTGTAGCCACTCCAGCTCTTTTTTGGCTATTGTTTGCTTAGCATATATTTTTCCATGCTTTTACTTTCAACCTATTTGTGTCTTTGAATCTCAAGCGTCTTTTTTAGACAGCACATAGTTGGATCTTTCTTATTAATTAATTTTCACTCTGCCAGTCTATGTTTTTTGATTGTAGTGTTTACTCCATTTACACTTAATGTAATTATAGATAGGTAGAATTTATGTCTGCCATTTTGCCATTTGTTTTCTATATGTCTTATGGTCCCCCTATTCCTCTATTACTGCCTTCTTGTGTGTTAACTAGATAATTTCTTGTGTACCATCATTTTAATTTTCTTTTTCTTTTCTTTTTTTTTCTTTTTTTTTTTTTTTTTTTTTGAGACAGAGTCTCATTCCCTCGCCCAGGCTGGAGTGCATTGGTGCAATCTTGGCTCACTGCAACCTCTGCCTCCCAGGTTCAAGCAGTTCTTCTGTCTCAGCCTCCCAAGTAGCTGAGACAACAGGCACATGCCACCTTGCCCAGCTAATTTTTGTATTTTTAGTAGAGACAGAGTTTCACATTATTGGTCAGGCTGTTTTCGAACTCCTGACCTCAGGTTATCCACCTGCCTCGGCTTCCCAAAGTACTGGGATTACTGGTGTGAGCCACTGCACCTGGCCTCCATTTTAATTTTCTTGTTGTTTCTTTTACTATATATCGTTTGGTTATTTCTTAGTGGTTGCCCTAGGGATTACAACTAACATGTTAATTTACAAAAATCTAGTTCAAAATTAGCCAAGCATGGTGGTGGGTGCCTGCAATCCCAGCTACTTGGGAAGCTGAAACAGGAGAATCACTTGAACCCAGGAGGTGGAGGTTGCAGTGAGCTGAGATCACGTCACTGCACTCCAGCCTGGGCAACAGAGCGAGACTTCATTTCAAAAGAAAAAAATCTGGTTCATATTAATATACATATAAACATTTAATTTTAATAGTGTACAAAAACTTTGCTGTTATGTAGCTCCATTCCCTCTGCCTTCCTCTGTGCTGTTATTGGCAGACAAAAACAACTTTATCCATTGCATACCCATAAGCACTGATTTACAAGTATTGTTTTACACAGTTATCTTTCAATTAGAAAAGATAGAGTTATACATAAAAAGCACATTTAAACTATTTTTTATATTTACCCTTGTAGTTTCCTTTATTGATGCTCTTTATTTCTTTGTGTGGGTTTGAGTTACTGTTGAGTGCCCTTTTATTTCCACTGGAAGTATTTTCTTCAGTAGTTCTTAAAGTGATAATTTCTTTTCATTTTGGTTTAGGAATGTCTGACTTTTTCCTTCATTTTTTGTAAGATAGCTTTGTTAAATAGAAAATTCCTGCTTGACAGTCATTTTCTTTCATCTTTTTCACGATGTCAGCTCATCGCTTGCTGGACGCCATGGTTTCTAATGTGAAATTAGTGTTAAGATCCCTGTACATGATGAGACCCTTCTCTCTCACAGATTTTAAGACTTTCTGTCTTTTGGTAGTTTTATCGTGATGTGTATACATGTGGTGTTAGATGTGGTAGGTGCAGATTTCTTTAAGTGCCTAGAACTAATGAAGTCTCCCAGGTTTTGCAGAGGATCTGTCTGTGTGTTGGGATGTGCCTTTAATATTTGTCCAAGCAGTTACAAACTGCCTTAGCTTTCACTTCCTGCTTGTGTAGTGCATCTTCAGCCAGATGCAAGAACTTAGGACCTTCTCAGGTCTTTCTCAGACATGCACATAGCCTTGGGCAAGGGCACACTTCAATGCATATCTGTAGCCTTCTACATTCCCCGGAATTTGTCAATGCTTTTTAAAGTCTCCTATGAACATCCCATTCCCTAGCTTTTCCTTTTAAGTTTTTCAATTCGCTAGTTGTTTGCCCCAACTATTATCACTGCCTTAGATGGTTACAATGTTAGACAATTGCCACTGATAGTTTTTTACAAACACTTGAAGGGAAAAGTCTGTTTGCACTGACTGAGCTCTGAATCAGGTCAAATAAAGACAAGCTTTGCGAGTGGGGTTTTCTAGGGAACTGTAAGACAGGTCAAGTAATGGAGATTCTCTGAGAATGGGGCTTGGAAAGAGCTCCAACCCCATTTTAGCCTCTCCTGTGGCTTCTAGGCTACTGGTTTTCACTGTGGTTGTGGGGCTGTTGGTTTTTAAGGCTACAGCAGAACTGGAAAGAAGGCAGAGGGATTAGGACAAGTTAAAACACTATAAAACTCACTATCATTACCAAGACACAGTCATTTTTCTTGCATAAATGCTTCTTGAATTATTGCAAGCCTTTGATTAATTTTCAGCATTCTGAAACAGTGGATTTAGAGTTTTCCAGTGTTCTCATTGGTTTTATAGAAAAAATAATTTTCAGAAGAACTTATTCTGCATTTCTCATGATGTCACCTGATGCCTTGTTTGAACTTTTGTAATTAAAAAAATGTTTTCTTCATATTGCTAAGTATTTTTTTTGAAAAAAATTGCAATGAATATGTAGAAACTTTGTTTTCCATTTTAGATGACTCTTTTCTGGTAAATAAAATGAATGCTTCTCATTCTCATTCTCAAAATATGAGTCATAAATATTTTGAAACGGCTAATGTTTGTGAAATATATTTAATAATGGATTATGTAGTCATGCAGTGAAAACAAGGCGATAATTCAGAACTCAGTAATATGGGATACAGGCATATGGTTAGGTACGGACCCTCAAGGTTCAGAAAGCCTGGGTCATACCATGATCTTCCCTCTGCTACTGTTAGGATCTTGGCAGATTACTCATCCTCTGTGCTTTAGTTTCCTTAGCTATAAAATGGGGCAAAGATGGTACCTATTTAATGAAGTGATTGGAAAATTTAATGGGTTAATGCTTGTAAAGTCCAAAGCAAAATGTCCAGAATGAAATGCTTAAAAGATATTAGTTATTATTAAAAAGCTAGAGATTTTTACTCTAAAATTTAATGTTGACAATCTAATGTGGGTTGTCACTTCCATAGCCATCTAACTGGTCTTTCTGTTTTATTTCCTTGCTTTGAATGGTCCTATACATAACAGCTGGATTCTAATAATAACTAATATAGGACCATTCTTAGGTGAAGAATCTAACTGTTATGTATAGGACCAGTCAAAGCAAGGTGATGGGTTATTGCATCATTCAGCTGCCTGAAAAAAAAACTTGGTGTTCTTTATCACCACATTGCTCTTAATACCAATCTCTGGTCTTCTGCAACGAGACCTAACCCATGTCTTTTTTTTTTTTTTTTGCCTGTGGACCAGATTGGTGCTATACTCCAGCCAAACCAAGCTATCTCTGTTCCTGAAGAAGTTCTATGCTTCCCTTCCTCTTTGTCTTTCCTCTTATTACCTCTTTTTCCTGGAATTATTTTCTATCCTTTTTACTTGAAATCCTATTCTTCTCTCTACTGAAATTCTGTTTCCTCTATCCTCCCTTTTATCTGCTTCACCAAGAATGAATATTTCACATGTCTATAGCATATGGCACTTAATTTCTCTTCTATAATATTTCTTTGTACTCTTGTTACTGGCCACTGAACCATAACTTTTGGAAGACATACTCTACATCCTACTAATCTTTGACTATCCTGCAGGAACTAGTTCAGTGCTTGTACTCAAATGATGCTAATGATGCTTAAAAACGTATTTCAGAATGAAAACTAAAATTCTGAGGAAACAAACACCTGCCCTTTGAAATTCTTCCCCTTAAGTGGAGATGTTAGGCTGATTTTTGTTGCTCTCAATAGCAGTGCTGTTTACAAAAATATTTTCAGCTACTTAAATGTGCAGCTATCATATTTATCCTTTTACGCTTTCTAGGTTCCTCTCTGGTTTCCATTGAAAGTGCTGCAGAATCCAGTTTTCTGTCATATCGGGTTGAGCCACTTAAAAGTAAAACCAATTTTTGGATAGGATTGTTCAGAAATGTTGAAGGTAATTTTTGCAGCATGCTTATTTAATCACAAATATTGTAAAATGTTGTATGTAAAACAAGGTTTCGTTTCCAAAATGTGTTGCCTTAAAAATGATTAATTCATGAGGAATTTGAAAATTCAAACTCATATTTTTATTTAAGAACTGAAATTTAAAATGAGTTTCATATCATGCTATCCTCAAAGTTGCTAATTAAAAAATATCTTTTGTAGCTAAGATAGTTTGAGGAGCTTTAAAAAGCATTTTCTATGTTTTCGTGGGGCCAGGAAAAAAATGCTAAGGAAAGGATAAGTATAAATATTTGTACTAATTAGAAATACGGTTTTAACTAAAGCTATACGGTAAACCTATTCTTTTTCGTTTCCTTCCCTGTAATAATTAGTCATTATAGTCTTGCCTGTTAAGTCTGGTTATAAATGACTATTGATTCTAGTATAAAAGAATATGCTTAGAAATTTCACATAAATTGGCTGAACTTATTTTAAGATAGGTTATATTTAACTTTTGTCTTTATTGGTTTTATCTGATGACCAGGGACGTGGCTGTGGATAAATAACAGTCCGGTCTCCTTTGTCAACTGGAACACAGGAGATCCCTCTGGTGAACGGAATGATTGTGTAGCTTTACATGCGTCTTCTGGGTTTTGGAGTAATATTCACTGTTCATCCTACAAAGGATATATTTGTAAAAGACCAAAAAGTAAGTAAGAAGTTTGTTGCATGGTGCATATCACTGGCTGCCATTTCTTTCAAATAGTAAGATATCAGGTATGGAATCATAATGTGATTACGAGGCCATTGGAAGCTCTGTCCTTTCATCCGTGAAAAATCCATTCTGCCGTTGTAGTTCATTACTGTTTGCAGCTCTGCGTGAGTGAGAGACACTCTCTGTCTGCTTAGCTGTTGTATTGATTTTTGTTTATCAGTGCATTTGTAATGGGATATCTGAAGGATTTGCCAAGCTGCAAACAGTCAGGAGAGCCCATCTACAAAGCCTTATTGCATGAGGGAAAAGGTGGTAAAGCCAGTACCAGCCCAAACCTGAGGAGACCAGGGTTCTGGAGAGGGATCAGAATTGATTGTGGAATGAGTCACGTCAGACTAATTCAGTCTCCTTTTAAGATGGAAAGTGAGACCATGAAAGGAACAGGATTGGGGAATTGATAGTGTTGAATGCTCACAAGGTGCCTCTATCTGGAATTTAAAAATATTTTGTTGATATGTCATGTCACATAATATCCCTCCCAATACATTACTGATTAGATAATAGAGGTTTTTTGTTTGTTGGTTTGTTTGAGACAGAATCTTGCTCTGCCACCAGGCTGGAGTGCAATGGTGCGATCTCGGCTCACTGCAACCTCCACCTCCTGGGTTCAAGCGATTCTCCTGCCTCAGCCTCCCGAGTAGCTGGGATTACAGGAGCATGCCATCATGCCCGGCTAATTTTTGTATTTTTAGTAGAGACGGGGTAGAGTTTACCATTTTAGAATTTGGCGGGTCTTTAGGCTTCTCTAACTGTTCTAAGACACACCACATCCTCTGGTACAATGTTGGAGTTGTTTTATTTTTTTTGTTTTGTTTTTGTTTTTGAGACAGAGTCTCACTCTGTTGCCCACTCTGTTGCCAGTGGCGTGATCTTGGCTCACTGCAACCTCCACCTCCTGGGTTCAAGCCATTCTCCTGCCTCAGCCTCCCAAGTAGCTGGGATTACAGGCGCACGCCACTATGCCCAGCTAATTTTTGTATTTTTAATAGAGATGGGGTTTCACTATGTTGGCCAGGCTGGTCTCGAACTCCGGACCTCAGGTGTTCCACCTGCCTCAGGCTCCCAAAGTGCTGGGATTACAGGCGTGAGCCACCACTCCTGGCCTGGAGTCTTATTTTACTTTTCATTCAAATGCTTTTTAACATCTTAGGCTTCAGCAGGCTAATTTCAAAACCCCTAGCCTTGAATGTTTTACTTATGGGTAGATTGGGTAGGTTTTAAGGGTGAGTATCAGTGGCTCAAATGTAACTTGGAGAATCACATTTCCAGATCTTCTAATGTACTCAAACGCACCATACAACCATAGGCAACTGCTATGGCTCAGACAGAGAGACAGATAGATGATAGGTAGGTAGATATATAGATAAAGGTACAGATCTTTTTTTTCTACCTGTATTTTTATATCTATCATATCATAATATCATATATCAATCAACACACATCAAATGTGGAGGATTCCATGTATTTGTGAGCCAAATAATATTTGCTATCTACCTGCAATTATTCTGGGTTTTTATAAATTTTTTTTTTTTTACACACAGTTATTGATGCTAAACCTACTCATGAATTACTTACAACAAAAGGTAAGGCCATTGCAAAATTTCAAGTTCTGTGTTAGTAATACATCCGTACTGTTTGTTTTAAAAGGCATAATCATAATCCCTTCCAACTCCCCTGCTCTCTCAGTAGAATTTGCTTAAGCTAAACTATCCTTTGTCATCAGCCTACTTTGAATAATACTTTAGAAAAAGAGGCCTTGGAGTCAGGTTGGTGTTTTTACTATAAGCAGTTATTGAAGGCATTTTTTTTTTTCGCTCTGTTACAAACAGCTGCCTTGAACCCATGGAAGAAATTTCTCTTAAGAATCTCTGTGGGTTTTTTTCTTTTCTTAGAATTTTTTTTTTGTTTTAATTTTTATAGACTACTTGAATTAGGTAACTGATTTCACTTCACTCATTTTGTTGGCTGCTTAAAAAAAAACTGAAAGTGAGATTTATGGCTTGCCTGTAACCTCCTTATTAACATCATGAGTGCCGTTTGTTTACTAATTACATCTATGAGTTCACGTTTCCACTATTCTTATTTTATTTTTCTCTTCATTTCCATTTTCTTTTAATTATTATCATTACTAATCTACTTATCTTCTTATACTGTATTTTTAACAGCCTTAAATTATTTTGAAATAAGGTATATATATTTTAATACATTGATGAACTAGCCCACTGCTACATAGACAGATGGATTATTCTTGCAACTGAATAATCATCTTAACATTCTGAATAATCCTCTATACCACAGGGACTCTTGTTTTCACATCTTTCTTTTCTGTTTGACAAATGTCGCTTGAAAGAATATTTATGCCTTTTAGTTTTTCAACAAGCGAAGTTCTGCATAGCATGCAACCCTCTGCCTCCCTCCACGTTTTCCATAATGATTTTATTTATTTATAGCTGACACAAGGAAGATGGACCCTTCTAAACCGTCTTCCAACGTGGCCGGAGTAGTCATCATTGTGATCCTCCTGATTTTAACGGGTGCTGGCCTTGCCGCCTATTTCTTTTATAAGAAAAGACGTGTGCACCTACCTCAAGAGGGCGCCTTTGAAAACACTCTGTATTTTAACAGTCAGTCAAGCCCAGGAACTAGTGATATGAAAGATCTCGTGGGCAATATTGAACAGAATGAACACTCGGTCATCTAGTACCTCAATGCGATTCTGAGATATTTGAATTTCATAAAATTGTAACTGAAATTTAAAATTTTTAGTTCAATGTGATTGTTTTCTTTAAAATGAGTACTGAATTGTACTGGTCTGTCCTTTTTTCCTTTGCCTAATTGAAGAAATAATTGCTTGTTTTCTAGCCTGGCAAGATATTTTCATAAAAGAGGGATAACAATGCTGATTACTACCTTTTAAAATATTTTAGATAAATGCACAGCACCACAGCACCACATCTAAGCATTAGTGATGGGTAGCTGATGTCAGCTTCATGTGGATTTTAAGCACTCTAGAAACAATGAAGCTTCTTGGCATATTTTAAGGAGCTCCCAAAATGTGTTACCTATTAAATTGTAACTCAGCAAGTAGAAGACCATTTGAAAAGTCAGGTACAAATTTCCTCAAGTGGCATAAAAATGTAGTCAGTTTTCTCTTTTACCAGTTTTTATTTCCACTCCAATTATTTAGAACTTTATTTGTACATGTGCAGAAGAATAAGGCAGCTGAGAATCTTGTTTCCCCCAAGAGAGTTTTACAGGCTGAGTGTTGCAAATGTGTTCTTTGTCCTGTTATATGTATATCAGGAATACAAGGATGTGAAATAAAACTGTAAATTTGCATAACTGGATGTACTTAGATAATGTGAAATAAACATTAAAGACAAGGTCTATTTTTAATAGATTTGCATTTTGGTGATCTTAGTATAAATTTGCTTTTAAATGAGATGTATTTATCCACTCACTTTACACTTTAACTTGACACTTATGATATTATTTGTAGAGAAATTCTTTAAATGAAACTCATGAACTATTTTGAAAAGGAGTGTTGCTAAAATGCTGTGTGTAAAATGAATTTTTTACCGTAATGATTTTGCCAGATCTTCCTCTATAACATGGACTCAATCAGAATTCAACAATCAAAGCCACTAATACTATTGAGAATCAGAATTCAGAGTATCCTTTTCTCCCTTTAATGATTTCTTTTCGCTTAACAATTTTGCCTTAAAGTTTGAGGTATATTGTGAAATATTTGGGAGGTTTTACATCTGTATTAGTCAATTTTCATACTGCTGATAAAGACATACCCAAGACTGGGTAATTTATAAAGAAAAAGAGGTTTAATGGACTCACAGTTCCACGTGGCTGGAGAGGCCTCATAATCACGGTGGAAGGCAAAAGGCACATCTTACATGGCGGCAGACAAGAGAGAAAAATGAGAGCCAAGCAAAAGGGGTTGCCCTTATAAAACCATCAGATCTCCTGAGACTTATTTTCTACGACAAGAACAGTATGGGGGAAACCGCCCCCACGATTCAATTATCTCCCACCAGGTCCCTCCCACAACATGTGGGAATTATGGGAGCTACAATTCAAGATGAGATTTGGGTGGGGACACAGCCAAACCATATCAATATCTCACACAGGTACCACACTGCCAGCTCACCTTCACTTTTTAATGAGATTGCCCACGAGCAGGAGTCTTTACCTAGAATCACTGGCTGGGACTCCTTGGATGGCTTTAAGGGGTCTAGGAAGGCCCCCAAATTGCAGGGCAAAATGTCATGTTTGTTTTGTGCCTATATTTTTCTGGAAAGATTCTACAGCTAGATTCTCAAGAAAGTCAATCATTCAAAAAAGAATAAGAAACAGCATAGTATTTGGGGTAGGGTGGAGTTTCCAATACTCCAACTTAGAAACAAATAGGAAGTAAGAAGTAGGCTGGGCGTGGTGGCTCACGCCTGTAATCCCAGCACTTTGGGAGGCCGAGGTGGGCAGATTGCCTGAGGTCAGGAGTTCAAGACCAGCCTGGCCAACATGGTGAAACCCCGCCTGTACTAAAAATACAAAAATGAGCCGGGCATGGTGGTGGGCACCTGTAATCTCAGATACTCAGGAGGCTGAGGCAGGAGAATCACTTGAACCTGGGAGGCGGAGGTTGTAGTGAGCTGAGATCGTGCCATTGCACTCCAGCCTGGGCAACAAGAGTGAGACTCTGTCTCAAAAAAACATAAATAAATAAAATAAAAATAAAAAAAGTATGTGGGCAACTGTTGGAAAGGTTTCTGAGCACAAACAACTCCACTCAACACCTCAAATAATAGAAATCAAGTTGCTTTTCGTTTTCTTGGTAAGAACAAAGCAAGTTCAACTAGAAGTTCCAGTGGAAACAGTGGTTGCAGTGTCAAAGCAGTATGTGGTGAATTACACTAAGGCAATCCCTTTCCTTCTGTCTAGCTAGCTAGCTAGCTAGCTAATTTTTTCCCCTCAAAGATAAAAGACAGAATTAGAAATATGGAATAAGAAGAAATGCTTGAGTGAGTACGGTTTACAAATTCTTTACACAAATCTTTTTCATTATAATTCAGAGCTGCAGTTTCACAGAAAATATTTTGGACTCTGTGCAACATATATCTCAGACTAAATGTCTTATCATTTCAGGAAACAGTCTGTGTTTGACAGGGTTGCTGAGTATTGTATTTCACACTCTCATATTATCCACCCAAACACATACTCAACGAGATAAGTCGTGTGTATCTCTTTAGTATTGTACTAAAATAGCAAGGATATTTTTTGGTGGAGCCAGCGGGAGGTATTGGGTAGAGAAGAGCAGTTTCTGTGTTGTTCATTTATTCATTTGTTTTTGGTTTTGCTGGTTGTAATTTATGTGATTGCACTTGCTTGAGGTTTTCATCAGGGTTCAGGAGCTGGAAAATTCTTAGGGCTGTTTTTTCCCAGTTGAACTCAAACAGTGTGGATTGTTTGTAAGCTGAACTCTGAAAATGATGTGGATATCAGTACAGACTGGTGGACACATGACACATCCATTTCTCAGTATTCACTCCTGCATCCGTTTATCCCTTTATTCATTTTTTCATTAAATATTTCTTGAGCATGTAATACATGTGCCAGGCATTGCCCTCACCCCTGTATGTTCAGATACAGGTAAGAAGCAGGGCCCGTCCACAAAGTGCAGTCTAGTGGCCGTCCAGACCACAAACAGATCATTTAATAACCATATGGCAGATGCATTGGTAGAATGTGCTTAAGGTATTAATGAAGCAGCAAGAAATGCAGAGATGGCTGTTGGCAGGGGCAGAACCAGGTTTTGTGGGGCCTGGAGATGTTGCTCTTGGGGGCCCTCTTTAAGAAAAAGGCTGGGTGTGGTGGCTCATGCCTGCGATCCCAGATCTTTGGAAGTCTGAGGCAGGAGGATCGCTTGAGGCCAGGAGTTCAAGACCAGACTTGGCAGCATAGTGAGAATCTGTCTCTACAAAAAGCTTTTAAAAAGCTAACCGGGCATGGTGACAAGTGCCTGTAGTCCCGGCTACTTAGGAGGCTGAGGTGGGAGCATCCCTTGAGCCCAGGAGTTTCAAAGCTGCAGTGGGCTGTGATCACACCACTGCACTCCAGCCTGGGCCACGGAGTGGGACCCTGTCTCAGAAAAAAAAAAAAGAATATTAAAAAATAGGTACAAAAGTGAAAATGTATTCAGAACAAGAAAAGAAATCAGGAGAAGTTGCAAATTATTAAAAGCTGGTAACTGCAACAAACATCACACACTGGGGACAGTTACACATTATTTTTAGTAATTACCTTCCTGATGTACTTCCTATTACTTTGCTTGGGCTGTCATAATAAAATGCCACAGACTGAGTGGCTTAAACAACAGAAAGATATTTTCCAATATCTTCTCCAGGTAAACAAAACAATTGAATATATGTGTATGTGTATAGTGTGTGTGTACAGTATATGTGTGTACAGTATATACATGCGTGTACAGTACATGGGTGTGTACGTATGTGTGTACAGTATGTGTGCAGTATATTTGTGTACAGTATGGGTGTGTACAGTATGTGTGTGCTTACAGTAGACATCTGTGTGTGTACAGTATATATATAAGTACATGCAGTAGATATTTGTACAGTATGGATGTGTACAGTATATATGTGTATAGTATATGTGTGTACAGTATATATGTGTGTGCATGCCATAGATATCTGCAGTATATCTGTGTGTGTACAGTATATGTGCGTGCCTACAGTAGACATCTTTGTGTGCAGTATATATGTGTGTGCATGCAGTAGATATCTATGTGTGTACAGTATATCCAGTATATGTGCACACAGTATATGTGTTTTTACAGTATATATGTGTGCATATACAGTATGTATGTATAGACATGTGTATGTGTGTACAGTGTGTACAGTATATATGTGTGTGGTATATATCTGTACAGTATGTGTGTGTGCAGCATATATGTATGTGTACAGTATGTGTGTACACTGCATGCATGCATTCTATATCTGTGTACAGTATATGTGTACAGTATATACATGTGTGCAGTACATATGTGTGTACAGTATATACATGTGTGCAGTACATATGTGTATACAGTATATATGTGTGTGCAGTAAGTTTAAAGTATGTATGTATGTATAGTATGTGTGACGTGTGTACAGTGTGTGTACAGTATACCTGTGTGTGTGCAGTATATGCATGTGTGGCATATATATATGTGTATGTACGGTATATGTGTGTGTGCAGTATACATGTGTGTGTGTGTATTTGGAAGGAAGAGAGAGATTTATTTTGACGAATTGGCTTGCACAATTATGAAGGTTTGAGGAGTCCACAATCTACCGGGCAGGCCAGCAGCCTGGAGACCCAGGGAAGGGTTGCAGTTCAAGTCCAAGGGCAGTCTGCTGGCAGAATTCCTTTTTGCTTGCGGGAGGCCAGGCCTTCAGCTGATTGAATGAAGCCACCTACATCATGAAGGGTAATCTGTTTTACTCAAAATCCATCAATTACAATCTTAATATCCAATACCATCACAGAAACCGCTAAAATAATGTTTGGTCAAATATCTTGGCACTGTGACCCAGCCATGTCGACACATGAGATTAACCATTACACTCCCTTATATGGCAATGATTTTGTAATATTTTTGGCAGAGGGAATAGAAAGATAATTCCATCTTTAGCACAGTCAATCAGACATTTAAAAAATATTTGATAGTTTAGAAATGCTGATTTCAACTATACGACTTGTTATTGATAATGTTTAATTTTTAGGATTGTTATCACATATGGGAGAACTATCACGTAATAGGTACAATATACCCATAGTAGATACCTAATAGGTATCATATACGAGCACTAATAATTTAGGACATTAATTTTGAGTTTGTGTGTGAGAGAAATAAGTTTTTGATGTGATGATATTATACAGGTTTTGATGTGATGATATTAATCAGTTTATTGATATTATTTTTATAATGGCCTACGAGTTTTGGGAAGGCTGTTATTTTATGTCAAATGAGCTAAAAGTTTAAATCTTTTTCTAATATGTTCATATGATTTACGTTTCTTTAGGAGCTAAATTATAGAATCTAAGAATCTCTTCAATACTTCAATTTGAAACATCTCTTGTTATAAAGTATTGTTTTGGAAATGATCTGAAAATTCCCTTCTATTTCCTTTTTGATCTCAGAATAATTTCTATTGGTTTCATGGCCAATTTTTTGCTATTTTATATCCCCATTAATCTCATATGCATTTTTCCTATTTCTTTAATAATTTTAAAAATAAGATACACTTTCTATACATCCAAACCTTCAGACTGCCAGTATTTATAGAACTCCTGAATTGTTTTAGCTGAAATGTTCCAAAAATGTTTTTTCCAAGTTGCAGTTAAAATGACATATTTGACAAAACTCCAATACCACATTCCTATCAAAACAGAGAAAAGAAAAATATGCAATTCTTTTATAATTGTCTATTATAGACAATAATACGCCTTTCATTTAATTACTTAGACCTTCTTTTTGTGTTACTTAAACCTTCCATTTTGATTAAGCATTGATGATAATTGAAATTTCTTTCTTTCTTTCTTTCTTTTTTTTTTTTTTTTTTTTTTGAGACGGAGGCTCACTTTGTTTCCCAGGCTGGAGTGCAGTGGTGCACCTTGGCTCACTGCAGCCTCTGCCTCCCAGGTTCAAGCAATTCTCCTGCCTCAGCCTCCTGAGCAGCTGGGATTACAGGCACCTGCCACCATGCCAGGCTAACATTTTTGTATTTTTAGTAGAGACAGGGTTTCACCATGTTGGCCAGGCTGGTCTCAAACTGATAATTGATATTTTTACTTAGATTTTTTATACTCTGGTGATTAAAATAATTTCTATAGACTAGCTTCATGTTTCACGTATTTCAAACCTTGTTCCTCCTCTAATCCCCACTTGCTTTGCTCATGGGTCCCCTAGGATATGCTAATAGTACTCTGTAAAATCTGGCCTTCAACCTTTTAGTAATATAGTTGGATGTTTTTGCAAAGGGAGTGATAGGTATATTGCTAGAGCCCATTCATGAAGTGGCTTTCTGATGTGTTCATTTCACTAGGCTCAAGTATGGTACTCAGTGACCAAGTCAATATAAATCTAGGTGGTTTGTGAAGGGATGTTGCAGAAGTAATTAAAGTTCCTAATCAGTTGACTTTAAATTAGGGAAATTATCTGGAGAGGGCCTGGCTTAATCAGTTGAATGGTTTTAAAATTGAGCTCAGGCTTTTCCTGAGGGTGAGGGCTTCTGATTATGGAACACAGCTTTGGCTCGAGAAGTTCCACATGAAGTTCCAGTTCCAGTTTGCTCCTGATCCTCTCCCCTCCCCTCCCCTCCCCTTCCTTTCTTTTTCTTCCATTCTTTCTTTTCCTTCCCTTTCTCTTTCCTTTTGTTTGTTTTCTTTTCTTTTTTTTCTTTTCTTTCTGACAGGATTTCACTCTGTTTCCCATGCTGGAGTGCAGTAACATGATCATAGCTCACTGCAGCCTCAAACTCTCAGGCTCAAGCAATCTTCCCACCTTGGCCTCCTCAGTAGCTAGGACTACGGGTATGTGCCACCATACCTGGCTAATTTTTTTGGTTTTTCATAAACATGAGGTGTCCCTGTGTTGCCCAGGCTGGTCTCAAACTGCTGGCCTCAAGCGATCCTCCTGCTTTGGCCTCCTAAAGTGATGGGATTACACGTGTGAGCCACCATGCCTGCCCTAATCTTCCCTTTCTGATGAGCTGTCTTACAAACTTTGGACTTGCTTAGCCAGTCTGACACAATTGCATAAGCCAGGTCCTCGTAATATGTCTCTATATATGTGTATCTATGTATGTATTCATGATCGTCAATCTATTTTCGTATTTCCTACTGGTTCTGTTTCTTTGGTTGAACTCTAATACACCATTCCATTATTAACAACCACATTAATACACCATTCCTATATATATATATATATATATATATTTTTTTTTTTTAGATGGAGTTTCGCTCTTGTTGCTCAGGCTGGAGTGCAATGGCACTATCTCAACTCACTGCAACCTCCACCTCCCAGGTTCAAGCGATTCACCTGCCCCAGCCTCCCAGAGTAGCTGGGATTACAGGTGCACGCCACCATGCCCGGCTAATTTTTGTATTTTTAGTAGAGACAGGGTTTCACCATGTTGGTCAGGCTGGTCTCGAACACCTGACCTCATGTGATTCACCCGCCTCGGCCTCCCAAAGTGCTGGGATTACAGGCTTGAGCCACCGTGCCCGGCCACACCATTTCCTATATTAACAACCATGTAAATATATTATTCCACTAAAACCCAAACTAATGTATTCCAAACTCAACATCCCTTTACCCTGATTCCCCAAAATGTCCTGGTCATTCCAACGCCACCTATCACAAGAGGAGGTACCCCCCAACCCATCTTGGAGCGGTAGTTGAAATGGAGAGTCTAAAACAATTATGGTTAAAATATTATCTACAGATTTTATTTTTAAAAACATAGCCACGTGAAAACACTGCTAAGGCCCTCCCAGGGCCTTGGAAAGGACCCATGCAAGGGAGTGGCCCTGAAACTTAAGCCTCATTAGCGTCACTATAGAATCACTCTGAATGCCAAGCACAGCTTCTGAGAGAAGCCACTTGAAGTGAAACCAGAACAGATATTCAAAGATGAGTAGAAAATAAAGCATCATAAGGGCAAAAGGAAGGCAGAAATGGACACTGGGCAGAGGAGAAGCTTGAGAAAAGCCACTGAGATGAGAAACAGCTGGTTTATATAAGACGTAAAGAGAGATGAATGTTGAGAGGCGAGCAAGGGATCGTGCACTCGAATAATGACAAGAGGCATTCTTCCATTCGGTCCTCCTTCTACTTCATCTGTACTCAGGGCCTTTTGATGTGGTGTCAGGCTCTGCCCGTGTGACTCAAGCAAGGAGATTACATGTTTCACTACATAATCAAAGCTACACGTGTCATCTGGCCTAATTTAAAAGAGAGCAGAAATCATACCCCTTTACATGCAGATTGATATGGTTTGGCTGTGTCCCCACCCAAATCTCGAGTTGTAGCTCCCATAATTCTCACGTGTCATGGAAGGGATCCAATGGGAGGTCATTGAATCATGGGGTGGGTTTTTCCTGGGCTGTTCTCCTGATAGTGAAGTCTCATGAGATTTGATGGTTATAAAGGGGAGTTCCCCTGCCACGTGAGATGACCCTTTGCTCTTTCTTTGCCTTCTGCCATGATTTTGAGGCCTCCGCAGCCATGTGAAACTGTGAGTCCATTAAACCTCTTTCATTTATAAATTACCCAGTCTTAGGTATGTCTTTTTTAGCAGCGTGAGAATGGACGAATACACAGACATTCAAATGTAAGGTCATAAAGTTACTCAAGTAGACTCATGAAGAATTAGAGACTCCTGAAGGCTTAGGCCACATAACTATGGGATGCATAGAACAACCGACTTTTCTCCATCACAAAACTGGAGGTGGAAAATTCTATCTTAACTTGGAAACCTTTGTATTACTAAGATTATAAAGCATATTCGTGAGAATTTATTCTCTGCTGATAACTTATGGAAAATCGATTTCATTGACTATACTAAGATTATAAAGCATCTATATTCGTGAGAATTTATTCTCTGCTGATAACTTATGGAAAATCTATTTCTTTGACTATAAATGAGTGTTCTCAACATTGGTAAACATTGTAATCACCCAGATCTGAAATTGTTTTTGCCAAAATTAAAACAATGAGAAAATTATGACAGTGAAGAGATCTGACCTAACCAACTCCATGTTGCTTCTAACCTCCAAGCTGCCCTTGTTCATTCCTCAGCATAGGCTGAACTAACTTTGGGAGGAACTTGGTTTATAGTTTAATCCTGAGACAAAGATAACAGCCCTTTTCTGAAACAAACTCCCTTCTTGCCTGGGGACCAGACTGCTCTGTAAGACTAACAAGTTAGCCACAAGATTAGAAATTATGGTTTAGGACTCATGCAGCCAGAGGCCACAGGATTCTGAACCTCCCCAGTTGCTCCTAGGGATAACATCACTATCATAAAATCTAAGGCTGGTACTCCAGATATTGTTTTAGACCTTGCATTCTGATGCACCAGCTAGTGCCACCCAGGTTGGTAATCTGGCTCAGCCAGTTCTATGATCCCACCCAGGAGCAGAAGACAGCAAGAAGAACCCCCTTTGATCTCCTGTGATTTCATCTTCAACCTGACCAATCAGAACACCCTACTCCCTGGCCCCTACCCATCAAATAATCCTTAAGAAACTCCTTCCTCTGACTTTTCTGGGAGACTGATTTAAGTAATAAAACTCTGGTCTCTCATTCACCTGGCTCTGCATGAATTAAACTTCTCTATTGCAATTCCCCTGTCTTAATAAATCTTCACTATTTGGGCAACAGGCAAGGAGAACACACTGAGTGGTTATAGACCCATTAAACCAGAATCTGGGAGTGGCACTCAGGCATTTTCTTAATTAACAGAACAGATCAAACCGAAGGAAACTCCAGGTGCTTCTATGGACTGGGTCCTGACGGCTATGGTTTGAATGTGTTCTTTCTAAAACTCAGATGTTGAAACTTAAGGGTCATTGTGCTAGTATTGACAGGTGGGGCTTTTGAGAGGTGATTAGGTTATGTGTGAGGGCTCCTCCCTCCTGACTGTAATTCCGGCCCTTGTAACAGAGGCTTCTGAAAGCGTTCAGCTCTTTTCCGCTTCCGCCTTCTACTACGTTCAGCTCTCTCCGGCTTCTGCCTTCTACTATGTGAGGACGTGACGTTTCTCCCCTCTAGAGAATGCAGCAAGAAGGTTCTTCCCCTATGCAGGTGACTTGACCTTGGGCTTCTCAGTCTCCAGAACTGTGAGGAAAATGAATCTCTGTTCTTTATAAGTCACCCCTGTGTCTGCAGCACAAATGGATTGAGATAGGAAGAAATAAAGTTAACTGGTACTGGTTTGAAGGTATTAATCCTCAGTATTCTCTCTTTGGTACAACATAGTAAATCTCTCTCACAATTATGGGAAAACAGTTGGTAAATTCACTGATGTAGAATGGCTACCCCAAATCTTTTTTTTTTAACCAAAGAGAGGATATAACCAAAAAATTTCAATTATAATTTTCAACTTTTCATGCTTCTGTGATTTTTTTTAAAGAAAATTCATATTTAAATACTGAGACAACTTTTAGTTTTCTTAAAACCTTTAGTTTTTGTACGTGTTTCTTCTAAAACTCAGATGTTGAAACTTAAGGGTCAATGCAATAATATTGACAGGTGGGGTGTTCGAGAGGTGATTGAAACTAAGTTTTCTTATTGAAATGAGAAATTTTCAATAAGAAACTAAAAGTTTGCTTAGTATTTAACTAATTTGCTGAGTTAATATTTAAATATATGGATTACATAATATGGATTATATTTAAATATTAAATAGAAAATAGCATGGATTTAAATATGGAGTATATTTAAATACTAAATAAGAAAGCTTCCTTAAAATATTGTTCTTGGTCAAGCCTCAATAGATGTTATAAAAATGTATCAGGGGACTGCTTCCCCTGGTAATTCCACCCAAACTGCTCACAACATACCAGAAACACATACTTTGGTACTAGTATTTCTTTGGTGTTCTGTAAATGTTCTTTATTCGGAAATGCCCCCTGACAGGCACTTTCTTTAAAAGTGACAGTGACATTGGAAAGGCTCCTTGAGTTGGCTGGAGATCCGACTCTTCTGTGGTGCTTTAAAATATTAACACTATTCACGACAGCTCTGCAAGAATAGGTTTTGGCAGTGGTTATTGATCTTGTTCAACTAGCTCTGTGGGAGCTTTCTCCTTGTGGGTGTGATTATAGCTCATGTACACACAGTTGCCTCAGTTTTAAGGAGCTTTACAAAGCTACCATGTTTTTTCCATTGATTTAATTTTTTTTTCTTTAAGTGCAAGAAAATTCAAGACTCTGGGCCTGTCCCTGATTGAGGATTCTAGCAGGAGTTCTCAAACACTGCTGGGCCTAAGAGCCACATGAGAAGCTTATTCTAAAGCTCAGATTCCTCTGGGTCCATGCTTGTGATTCTCATTAAGTAGACCTGGGGTGGAGCCCTGGAATCTGCATTTCAATCAATTTCCCAAAAGATTCTGAGGCACACAGGCCTTAGACTGTGACTTTGAGGAGCGTTCTATTTTGGAATCCTTTTGCATTGAAATTGCATTTCCCCCAAACTGCTTGTTAGAAATCTCACCTAATCCATGAGGTAAAAGCAGTGTAGCTCAAGAGCATAGGAATTAACTAAAGCTGCAGCTTCTCCATGCTTTTGTTAATCAGGAATCACAGATACTAAAATCCACTCCCGCAGTTTTCCCTAAACCCCTAATTCTCTCCCAGTGCACGACTCCTCACATCCCTTTCATAATCACCATTAATGAGTATGTGTGAGTGAAGCTTTGCCTCTCCTATCCAATCTTAGAATATGAACTCCAAGAATCGGATACCATAGGTCAGATATCACGGAGCCCTGGGCAGAACCCTAGGTCTTTGTGAAAAGAACCATCTTTCCAGGGTATGAGTAATAACAGTAAATTGGTTTGAGACAGGAATAATACATGATGATCACAGAATAAAAAGATTGCAGGCAGCAGTTTCACGTGACTAGAGGCTAGGGGCTAAGATCCTGAAAAACCAGTGTGTGAACCAAGCTGACTAAGACAGACTGCACTCAGCATGGCACTGGATTTGACCTAGGTTTCACCTAGGACCTCATTATATGTTCATTAACATACAAATGACATACCCACTAGTACTATGACAGTTCTGAGAATACCCATATTTGATGTAAAAATGGCTGGCACCATAGTTCAGAGAAATCACTTGCTTCCAGGAATTCTCATGAATAGTCCACCCTTTGGTTAAAAAAACCCATAGAAGTAGCAACCCTAAACCCCATTGCGTGACTTTCTTGAGTACACGGATGGAAGTACAGCACTTCCTTTCTGGAGTGTGTACTTTATACTTTGCAGTTAATCTCCATACTTGCACTATTTTCTGAATCCTTGAATTTCTTCTCACGATGGTGTCAAGAGCCTGGACATTGGCTGGAGTTGAGGTCCCACTGGCAACCGGGAACCTCGCCTAGCCCAACAGTATCAGTTTGACCCATGGAGATATCCATCATAAAGTGCCAGTCTCCTTGGGCCAAGGTTTGCTCACCTTCTAAAAGGAAGTTAATGGAAACTTTCTGATACTCCTGACCATCAAAACTAGATAATTCAGCTTTATTCTCTCAAAGTTAGAGGGCAGAAGAAAACACATCCAGTTCTTGGAGGAAAATTGCAATAAATATTTTGAAGAGAGTTCCATCTCTTATTCTCCCTCAATTTTCTGAAAGTCAGAGTAACACTTGGCTATAAAAGTGATAGGGAAACTAAGTGCCTATCATATACCAGGCACAGTGGCATGCAATCAAGTGGGATTTCATGTATTTCCCAAGTGTGTTTTGCTGGCTGCCATGTAAGACCCTAGTGTTAATTCCAAAACTCAGAGGTCCTGGCTCTTGAATGGGTGGGGACAGGAGGTGGATTTAAAGTTTCCAGCAGAGAAGAAGTGTGGGACTGATCGTCTGCTGGAACCAGTTCTCTGAATATGATGGTTTATCTGGCAAGGTTTGATTCCCTCAAGGAAGTTCCAGGCTAAAAGAGGAGCTAAGCTTCTACAGTCTCTGAGCTTTTTGTGTTACTGATCTTGAGTCTTATTAAAAAAAAAAAAAAAAAAAAAAAAACCCTGACTTTATCTGGCCGTGCCAGGCTCCCTTCTGGGCCCTTGCTGCCGTGTGTCAGTACGCTGTAACTAGAGATGGATTATGTAAGAAATGTTTTTGTCAGAAGAGGCTGTTGCAGTATTTTATGTGCCCTGGTGCACAGCACCTCTGCTGTGAGTCCCCTCCCCGTGTGAGTTGCAGCCTCGCTGGATACACCTGCTACTGGTCTCAAGCACCTGTGATTTATTGGTCATGAAGCAGGTACTGGGACTCCTGCTTTTATTATCTGCACGGCCATCCCTCAGCCAGTATAGATGCCCAGGCTAGACTTGCAGAGCATGAAGAAGGAAGCAGAACCAGTTTGGGACCTTCGCCTGAGCAGCTGACTCAACTCCACTGCCAAGCAGCCAGGAATCTGGCACAGTTTCTGAGATGTCTCAGCCAACTGGTATTTCTGAAGCCATAGTTTTCCTCTGAGCTCCCCCTCAACATGGGTATAGTCATTGTGCTTGTTTTGCTTCTTCCTTGTTCTTGTTTAAAAGCCAGTTTTCTTCCTTGAAAGGCAGTGAAATCTCTGGGTTTTCCATGTGGGTAGAGAGGAGCAGGCGGAACAAGCTTAGGGAGGCCAGGCGGTAACAGGTAACCATTTCTTGAAGTTGATCCTCAGAGCATCCAAGCCAGTGGGTTCATTTGGATGATCTTCAGCCAGGCATAGTCCCTGGTGCCAAGCCTCAGGATATCAAAGAACTACTTACAAAATATGTGTTCCTTCATAAGGAAAAGAATGGTTTAGCTCAGAGGGCGTGCCTGCCAATAAATCTCACATAGGTTAAGACACAAACTGAAAAAATGCTCAAGGACCATGAGCCACAGTCACTGGAGAAGCCACAGTCATTCATTCTCCAGCAGTTCCCCTTAACCACCTACCAAAGTCCTTAGATAGCTGCCGTCAACCCGTAGGAACTCACAAAAAGACTATCAAAGTGAAAATGTGTTTCAAGGACTATAGTGGGTGTAACACCTGGGTAGCCAACAACATCTATAATTCATGTGTTTTTCAGCTCTAATTTTGTCTCTTTGACTAATGGAACTTCCATTTCAACTGCATCTAATATTGAAGTATCAAGTTGGAATATTCCGTAAAGAACCAAAACAGAAGACTGATAGTGGCATAACATAAGCTATGAGTTCAAAAGCTATTGCTGGGCCCTAGCTGAGAGCAAGTGGTCAAATACTGTACTCTATTCTTAACAAACCAATTATAACATCATGACTCCTCAAACATTTGATAGATTAGCAAAGACTATCACCCTAGAGGTCCTGGCAGGCTGTTCTGCAGTTAGCACAGAAAGCAGCACTGAATGCATCTGCTCGAGCTTTGGGACCAAAACTATAACCACAGGGATGATCAATGCCATCGCCCGTATAGACTCATACCTAAGACATCAGTGATCACCACCAAGACATGAAGAGTTGAGTCAACAGCATATGTGCCACCTGCTCTGATCAAAGAGCTGAAGGTCACGTTCAGTATCACATAGACACTGCCAAACTTAAAACTTTCAATAAGAAACTTGAGATGTTACTCAGGTTGTTGATGACAGAAAAGTCTGAGGTGGGAGGCCCACTCAGTGCTGTCGTGGCAGAGCTTAGAGATGTTGAAGGTGCCAGGAGCAAACCCAAGGCAGTGCAGATTCCATCAGGCAGTGCCGGCTCCTTGTTACAAAAGCTTCTGAATGGTGCTTGGTAAACACGTTTGCCTTTGGCGACCCTCTTAATTCCCTTGCCATAGTCATCTTTAAAAGCTACAAGTAGGACTATAACCATCAGAGCACTTAATTAGTGACTATATGTAGACAGATTATGAAGGAGTCATTGGAAGGACATTTAGCCAAACAGCTACTTCTGTATTAAGGGTGCCTGAAAGATTTGGGGGCATTTCTCCTTTTTTGGTCTGTAAGTCTAAACCAAATATTGTCTTATGAATTATTTGCAATTTAAGAAAAATGACAGATATTTAATAGACATGAAATTATTTCATTATTACTGAATATTTCCTTCTCTTTTCAAAATTAAAATTATGAAGTTGACCAGAAACAGGAAATAATGCCATCAGTGTAGGTGGTAGGTGATCCTAACCTCAATGTGGACTTGGTCTTTTGGGTCATTTTTCAACCTGATGAAATCTAAAAAGGAAATTCTTGGGCAGTTTGACGTTTTTCTTTCTTTTGATATAATGTGATGTTTATAATCCATTCTAGTTAGAACTCCTGTGAAATGCATGATGAGTAATAGGTTTTGTTTCTGAAAATAGTCATTTAATTAAAAATAAGATCCTAAAAAATGTGCAAATGAATAAATGTAATTTTCATGCTGATGAACCTCATATTTACATCTTTAGCTTTAGATTCTACTTGGAACATCTAACTTGCCTACTTGACTGTTCTCCTTAAACGCGTCATGGGCATCTGAAATTTAACCAGATAGAACACAATATTTTCCCCATGTGGTTACTACTCTGATGGTTTCCACTTAGTGAATGGCAACATTGAATGGCAACTCAGCCACTCAATCTAGAAAACTTGGAGCCCTTCTTGCTTCCTCTTTCCCTCACCCTCCATATATATCACAAAGTGTGTTCAATTCTACTTTTCACTTCTACTTGCCCATGTTTGTCTCTGCCTGGCCACTCCCTAGTGCAGCCGCCATTATTTCTTGCCTGAAATACAACAAACTTCTATTTCCCTACTTTCACTTCCATTACCCTCCAGTCATTCCCCACAATGCACCAAGTGGTCTTCCTAAAATGTGAGTCACACTATATCCCTCTTCAATTTAATACCTTTCAATATCTTCCAACTTCATTTAGAAGAGCCCCCAACCTTCTTACCACATTCTAGAGGACCTGTCTCACCTGCTCCTGGCCTGCCACATGCCTACTTTCTATGCTTTGGCCACACTGGTCCTCCCTCAGCATCTCAAACCAGTTGAGCTCTTACCCCAGGGCCTTTGCCCATGCTGTTTTCACTCTTGGAAACCCTTTTCATCTCTCAGGTCATTTTTCCTAAGGCGGCCTCCTACCCTGTTGTTCAACTCAGCTGCCTGATTATTTTCATCATAACACTGGTCAGAATTCTTTAATTCATTTTTTTTTCTGCTCTGTTCCTTTCCCCTGCAATATAATGTAAATTCCATGAAGGCAAGAGCCAGGTCTAGTTAGGTTAATTAGTGAAACGTCTGGAGCCTTTGACAGTGCCCAGTGCATGATGGTGCTTGATAGTATTTGTCGACTCCACTGAGTCAATGAAAGAATTGGAATAAAAAAGAGGGCTTTAGACAGAATCTAGGAGAGCATTAACATAACCGTTTGAGAGGCAGGAAAAAAACCTTCAAGGAAACCTGGGAGAAGCAGCCAGGGAGGATTCTACAAGAGTTTCCAAAGGCCAAGGAAAGAGTGTCTGCCAAAGGCTGCCCTGTATCAGGTAAGACAGGAGTTGAAAGCTGTCTACTAGATGTAACATTAGAAAAGTCATCGTGACCTTGCCAAAAGCAGTTTCAAGAAGTTTGAAGGAGGCAGACCAAGCAAAAGCAGCTAAAGGGAATGGTTTCAGTATTACCTGAGTACAGAAAAGAAGCTAGGGGAGGGGCAAAGTGTAAGGACCCACAGGTGAGAGGCTGTAATCATTAGAATGTGGCCTCCCTGGGATGGGGGGAGGAGAGCCCAGGGCCCAAATGGAAGAAAGAAGAGACTTCCTTTAGGGTCCCATTCCATGAAACTACTGCCCTGCCCCAATATAATTAAGGCAAATCTCTGGAGGTAAAGTCTGGAGATGGTATTTTTATAAAACATCAGGCTCATCCAATGGCAGCCCATGATTGAAACACTGGTTTAAGTAACCATCTTCCTGGTGGTTGCAGTGTTTTTTTTTTTATTATTGAAACAACTCTTGGGAAGAGAGATTTGGCCTTGTGAGAGAGACAAACTCTGACTTAGGGAAGTGGGCAGATTCACCAGCAGGAAGTGGGAAAGAAGCTGGTAGCTACCTTTACCTCCACCCAGCCAAGCTGCCTGGAGTCCATATACACATTCATTTTGTTGTAATTGTGATAAAATACATATAAAACTTACCATCTCAACCAATTTCACGCACACAGTTCAGTAGTAAGTACATTCACATTTTTGCACAACAGTCACCATGGTCCATCTCCAGAACTCCTGATCTTGCAAACCTGAAACTTCGCACCCATTAAACAACTCGCAATTTCTTCTCCACCCAAGCCCTGGCCACCAACACTGACATGCTACTTTCTGTCTCTATGACTTTGACTACTCTAGGAACCTCATATAAGTGGAATTATATAGTATTTGTCCTCTCATAACTGGCTAGTTTCATTTAGCATAATATCTTCAAGGTCTATCCATGTTCTAGCATATCAGAATTTCCTTCCTTTTTTTTTTTTTTTTTTTGAGACAGAGTTTTGTTCTTATTGCCCAGGCTGGAGTGCAATGGCATGATCTCGATCTCGGCTCACCACAACCTCTGCCTCCTGGATTCAAGCAACTCTCCTGCCTCAGCCTCTGAGTATCTGGGATTATAGGCATGTGCCACCACGCCTGGCTAATTTTTGTATTTTTAGTAGAGACAGGGTTTCTCCATGTTGGTCAGGCTGGTGTCGAACTCCCGACCTTGGGTGATCTGCCTGGGATTACAGGTGTGAGCCACTGCGCCCAGCCTCCTTCCTTTTTAAGACTGAAAACTATTCTATTGTATGAGTAGACAAGTTTCTTTATTTAGTCATCCATTGATGGATATTGGGTTACTTCCACTGTTTGGCTATTGTGAACAATGCTGCTATGAACAGGGTATACAGATAACTCTTTGAGACCCAGCTTTACATTATTTTGGGTATATAGCCCAAAATGGAATTGTTAGACCATGTGGTAAATTTATTTTTAATTTTTGGAGGAAGCGTTCCATTCTGTTTTCCGTAGCAGCCACACAAATTTACATTCTCACCAAGAGTGCATAAGGGTTTCCAGTTTCTCTACAGTCATTGCCAACACTTGTTATTTTCCAGTTTCTTTTAAAACATTGGTAATAATCATTCTAATGGGTGTATGGTGGTTGCATCCATTCTTTTTTGGTTTAGTTTTTTTCTAAACTCTTTGAGTCAGGCTGTCATCGGCGTTATTGGATTTTTCAATGGCAATCCACTCTCTGGTGGACCAGGAGAATGGCCATTGGACTTCAGCAACGTCCTGGCTCTTTTTTTTTTTTTCCTTTTTGAGTTGAAGTTTCTGATGTTTTGAAAATAAAGAGGCTGGGCGTGGTGGCTCATGTCTGTAATCCCAGGACTTCGGGAGACCGAGGCGGGTGGCTCACGAGGTCAAGAGATCAAGACCATCCTGGCCAACATGGTGAAACCCTGTCTCTACTAAAAATAGAAAAATTAGCTAGGCGTGGTGGTGCATGCCTGTAGTCCCAACTACTCGGGAGGCTCAGGCAGGAGAATTGCTTGAACTCAGGAGGCAGAGGTTGCAGTGAGCCGAGATCACGCCACTGCACTCCAGCCTGGCGACAGAGTGAGACTCTGTCTCAAAAAAAAAAAAAAAGAAAAAAACCCGAAAAATTTATAAGTAATTGCCAATTACCTCCTGCCGCCAGATTCTCCCTCTCTGGGGAAGACATCTACACACAGACTTCTCTAAAGTTGTCTCTCACTCTAAAGCCTACAGAGATGTGAAGGAAACCAAAATGTTTTACCCCCAAATACACCACTTTGACATATTAGGTTGGTGCAAAAGTAATTGTGGTTTTCACCGTTAAAAGTAATGGAGAAAACCGCCATTACTTTTGCATCAACCTAATATTTCAAGATGGGTATTCAGAAGTGCTGGAAATATAAGAGTAGTTGAAAAGCTGTCTTTTGTAGGGGAGACTCGCATCTGTACAGAAAATCCGCACTGATGCAGCCTGGCTTTCCCTTTTCTGAATCTAGGAAAGATTAACTGAGAGTTGGACACCTTAAAGGTCTGAAAAAAACATTTACCATCTGTTCTGGGATTAGCTACCTATGGGCTTTCGTCTACATAAGAAGACCACCTTTGCAAGCCAGGCCTTGTGGTCTTTCTCCCATAACCTACCTTGCCAGTATAACCTGATTTACCACCATAATCTGTTTCCAGCCATGCTCCAAGCTCCCATTCTTTCTGTAACCTCGAGATGGTATACGTGTTTCTGAAACCCATTAGGGGCTGGGGTAATCACTCTGTGGTTCTTACCTAAGCACATACATTTGTATGACTTTTTTCATTTTAATCTGGCTTTTGTCAGGTTTTTTTTTTTGTTTGTTTGTTTGTTTTTAAGCAAACCTTCAGAGGATAACAGGAAAATTTTCCTTTGACTTCTACACATGTCAGGAAAAGAGATCTTACTTCTCAGTGCTGCTAAGTTTTCATAGGGCCAAGTTGGCCAGAGGCTAACAAAGTGTGCAAGGGAATAGGTGGGCCAAGCTACTGACCTCTTTCTCTGGCCTTATCTGTACAGAATAAATCAGGCTAGGAGAGAAAACTAAGAGTGCCTACTGATGGGTTCAGGAGTAGAGATTTTTAAAAATACATATACCAATATGTGAAAGAAATGGTGCTGAGAACTGTACATGGTTTATCTCATCACATTTCAACAGTAACTTATGATATACATACTGTTTCATAGATTTTTAAAACTGGGTCTTTATACTCTGCCCAAGTTCATGCAGCTAGTGCATGGTAGAGACAGGCTTTCAACCCAAGTCTGTGTCCACGTTCTGGTTACGTAACCACTACTCTATGATGCCCTCTGTTGACTGGCCAGCTGGGACTCAACATCTTTTTTGGAGTTTGAACATAGCAAGAAAGAACTGGAGCTAAGTGGCTATAATGGTGCAGCATGGGGGTGTAGCTCGGTAGCCTCCTGTTGAGGAAGACCCTGATAGGGCTTTGGTTTTCCCTTTCTCAGGCCTGAGGGTTCAGTGCTTTCATTTTTTAATCTTTTTTTGTTTTTTTTTTTTTGACAGAGTCTTGCTGTCTCGCCCAGGCCGGAGAGCAGTGGTGTGATCTTGGCTCACTGCAACCTCTGCCTCCCGGGTTCAAGTGATTCTCCTGCCTCAGCCTCCCAAGTAGCTGGGACTACAGGTGCCCACCACCACGCCTGGCTCTATTTTTTTTTTTTTTTTTTTGTATTTTTAGTAGAGAGAGGGTTTCAATATGTTGGCCAGGCTGGTCTTGAACTCCTGACCTTGTGATCCGCCCACCATGGCCTCCCAAAGTGCTGGGTGGCGTGAGCCACTGTGCCCGGCCTGTTCATGCTTTAGATTCTATGAGATAGTTCTGGATCCTTTAATAAAAAATCCTTTTTTCTTTTCTTTTTTTTTTGAGATGGAGTCCCACTGTGTTGCCCAGGCTGGAGTGCAGTGGCACAGTCTTGGCTCACTGCAAACTCTATCTCCCAGGTTCAAGTGATCCTCCTGCCTCAGCCTCCCAAGTAGCTGGATTACAGACGAGAGCCACCACACCCAGCTAATTTTGGTACTTTAGTAGAGACAAGAGTTTCATCATGTTGGCCAGGCTGGTCTTGAACTCCTGAACTCAACTGATCCGACCCTTCAGCCTCCCAAAGCACTGGGATTACAGATGTGAGCCACCACATCCAGCCAAAAAAAAAGACATCCTTTGTTCTTTTGCAAGACTTACTTTAGCTAGATGTTTAACACGTACATCTAAATGCTGCTTGACTAGGAATGAGAATAGATACGGAATTGCTCTGTGATTCCACATCAAGATTCATGACCTAGGCAGAAAAGAATTCATTAAACTGTACATTTTTAGGTCTCTCTGAAGATCATGTATTGACACTCAGAGACCTCAAAATGATCCCTCCCCGAGTCTAGTTTTGATATTTTCAGCAGTATCCCTACCCTCTCGACGCTTGGTATTTGTGATGGTTGATTCTATGTGTCAAGTTGACTGGGCCATGGGGTGCCCAGATTAAACATTGTCTTTGAGTGTGTCTGTGAGGGTGGTTTTGGATAAGGTTGCATTTGAAATGTTGTACTTAGTAATGTAGGTTGCCCTCTCCATTATGGGTGATTGTCATCCAATCTTCTGAAGCCTGAATAGAACAAAAGGCAGAAGAATGGAGGGGGAATTTGTTGCTTTTGCTTCTTTCTGCCTGCTGGAGCTGGGTCTTATCCTGCTTTTGGACTGGGATTTACACCATTGACTCTGCTGGTTCTTGGGTCTTCTCCTGCCCTTGGACTGGGATTTACACCATTGACTCTGCTGGTTCTTGGGTCTTTGGTCTCATACTAAATTCCACCACCTGTTCTCCTGGGTCTCCAGCTTGCAGATGGCAAATCTTGGGACTTCTCAGCCTCCCCAGTTTCGTGAGCCAATTCCTAATAATAAATCACTGCATTGGTTGGGCATGGCGGCTCATGCCTGTAATCTTAGCACTTTGAGAGGCCGAGGGGGGCAGATCACCTGACATCAGGAGTTCGAGGCCAGCCTGGCCAACATGGTGAAACCCTGTCTTTACTAAAAATACAAAAATTTGCCAGGTGTGGTGGGTGCCTATAGTCCCAGCTACTCAGGAGGCTGAGGCACAAGAATGGCTTGAACCCCAGAGGTGGAGGTTGTAGTGAGACAAGATCGTGCCACTGCACTCCAGCCTGGGTGCCAGAGCGAGACTCCATCTCAGCAACAACAACAAAAATAAATCACTTCATTCACACACACACACTATTAGCTCTGTATCTCTAGAGAACACTGAATAATGCAAGTATCTAAAAAAATTTTTTTTAAAGTACTTGTACAATGAGTGGGGTTTGTAAAATAAACCTATATTGTGAAGATCTTAAAATTACAGATCTAAAAGAAAAAAAAAAAAACCTTTCCAAGTTCCTGCTTCAGTGAGCAGGGAAGATTTTATTTTACAGATGGAAAAATGCCCCATAAAGTTCACATTATGGGGCACATTCCTGTGCCCAAGAGACAGTCTAGAGTGTGCCAGCACAATGCTTACAGAAATCTGAACCCCAATCTGAATTCAAGATTCAACTTTATATGCCTTTCTCAACACTCCCTAACTCTCTTCTCAGAAAAACTTGTGCGGCCCAAGCCATTAAATCAAGTAGGTGCTCAAAGGTCTCTGTCTGCTTAGTCAGTATCAACTGTGACTCCTCACGCATGGGTCATTTTGAAGGTCTTATTTATTTGTCGCCAGAGGAAACCTTCGGTTGTAGCTGGATGGTGATTTGTGTCCAGTGATAACCACTTTGTTCATGGACACTTGTAGCCTCTCTGCTTCATTTGATGTCAGAGACCTCTGCATTTTATTATAGTGCTAAAAGCCAACTTGCTTTTTGTTGTCTCCTATGGCTTCAGTACTGGGTTAGGGATCCCCATTGCATACACTGAATATCCCATATTATAGTACTGACTCTGCTACATTCTGGCTGACTGATTACCAGGCTTTCTTTGACAAACTGCGAACTCAGTGTGGGCAGTGACTATCCTGTTCACCACGTGTCACCAGCACCTAGGACATAATAACATAGGTAGATACTCAAATACCTAAGTATGATACTATGTAAATGTATACATAATTCGTAAGCCTCATGAACATTTCCTATGTGCTATGTATGTCATTACTTGCATTACTATTTATTTTATTTATCTTGAGACGGTCTTGCTCTGTGGCCCAGGCTGGAGTGCAGGGGCATGATCTCGGCTCACTGCAACCTCTGCCTCCTGGGTTCAAGCAGTTCTCCTGTGTCAGCCTTCCGAGTAGCTGGGATTACAGGTGTGCATCACCATGCTTGGCTAAATTTTGTATTTTTAATAGAGATGGGGTTTCACCATGTTGGCCAGGCTGTTCTCGAAGTCCTGACTTCAGGTGATCCACCCACCTCGGCCACCGAAATTGTTGGGATTACAGGCGTGAGCTACTGAGCCTGGCCTCATTACTATTTATTTAACTCCTCACAACAGCCCTATGAAGGTAAGTTTCATTATAACCTTTACTTTATAGTTGAGGAAACTGAGAGAAAATTTCAGAAGCTCATCTCACAGCAAGTGGCAGAAACAGAATTTGAGCCTGGGATTCTGGCTCTTGAGCCACTAAGTGGGTTTTGAAAGAAAGAGGAAAAAGGAAGGAAGGAAAACCAGCACTTGTATCCGTCTGAATTTTTTTCCTAGGCAAGAGTGAGCCCAGGTCACTGAAGGTAGACTAGGTCAGAAACAGAACTGGCTCTGGGATAGAGTCCTGGTGAAAACAAGACTGATGGCCAGCACAGGCCAAAGGCCCCAGAGCAAAAGCTGTACTCACCAAAAACAGCCACCCAGAGCAAGGGGTTGGTGGTGAGGATGGGGGTATTGGTGGCAGGCAAGGGCTTGTGGGCTTCCCAGTGCCATTCCACTTCTTCCAGCCTGGATATGGCTGGCCCTCAAGGCCTTCCTTTGAGGGAAGAGTGTGATACTAGAGCTTCAGGCTGCTTTTCCACTCTCAGCCCTGAGAACAACAAATTGGGTGTCTTATGATGTTTGTTATAGTTATCATCATCAAAGAATAGATGATGCAAATACATGTATACAAATTTTAAAATGCAAATTGTGTATATAATATATAGATATAGGTATATGTACATACACTTATATTTGTGTGTATATAACATTTTGGCAGAATATAGTAAACTTAGTATATATATGTGTGTGTGTATATATATGCATATATATGGAGAGAGAGACAGAAAGCAAGCTTTACCTTCCCTCATGTTTCTTTTTACACAAATGCAGGAATAAGTGCCTTATTTTTTTGCTTATGATTATGATTGATAGATAGGGTCTTGCTCTGTTGCCCAAGCTGGATTGCAGTGGCGCAATCGTAGCTTACTGCAGTCTTCAACTCCTGGACTCAGGCAGTCTTCCCACCTCAGCTTCCTGAGTAGCTGGGACTACAGGTGTGAGGCACTGTGCCCAGCTTATTTATTTAATTTTGTAGAGATGGGGGTCTTACTATGTTGCCCAGGCTGGTTTCAAACTTCTGGCCTCAAGCAGTCCTCCCACCTCAGCCTCCCAAGGCATTGGGATTACAGGTGTGAGCCCCTGTGCCCAACCTATGATTACTTTTAGTGATTGTTTCTTATTAGTACATATTAAATGACTTTATTAATTTATTGGCTGCATATAGTCAACTGAAAAATATAAATACTATTGCCCTGTTGATGGTCAATTAGGAGGTTCTAGATTTTCATAACAGTACTGATAAGAAGATCGCTTAACATGTTGCTGCCTCTTTGAAAGATGCAAGTGTTTCTCTAGGATCTATAACCAGAAGCATTTTCTTTAGCAGCTCTTTCAACCACTGCCCTCAAGAGTTCCTTTATCGGCCGGGCGCGGTGGCTCACGCTTGTAATCCCAGCACTTTGGGAGGCCGAGGCGGGCGGATCACGAGGTCAGGAGATCGAGACCATCCTGGCTAACACGGTGAAACCCCGTCTCTACTAAAAATACAAAAAAATTAGCCGGGCGTGGTGGCGGGCGCCTGTAGTCCCAGCTACTCGGGAGGCTGAGGCAGGAGAATGGCGTGAACCCGGGAGGCGGAGCTTGCAGTGAGCCGAGATTGCGCCACTGCACTCCCACCTGGGCCACAGAGCGAGACTCCGTCTCAAAAAAAAAAAAAAAAAAAAAAGAGTTCCTTTATCTCCATCCTCTCAACAAAGTTATCACTTTTTTTGTTAAACCAATATTCAGTGCTATTACATTACACTATCATGAGCCATATAGTAGGCTTTTATGTCTTATATTACTTTGTTTTGCTTTCCATTAAAATGTTCTCTCTTTTGCTTTGTTTGAAGGCTCTATCCCTAATTTAATTTCTATGCTTAATGATTAATGTCATCTTCACCCAAACATATAGGGCCATCTATTAGACTTACGATTTTTCTAGGAGACATTCATTCTGGATTCTCTTCTCTCCTTTCTTGTGAATTGGTTTTCCTAAGAATTTTGAAGAAATTATTATACAGTCTCTCAGCATCCAGAGTTGCTATCAAGAAGTCTGGTGCTATTCCAATTCTGTACCTTTTTGGTATGACATATTGTTTTTTCCTCTCTGGAGGTGATTTGGATCTTTTATTCATCTCCAGCACTCAGTAATTTTACAATGCTGGAATTACTAGGCCCTTTCAATCTGGAAACTCATGTCCTTCAATTCTAGGAAATATTTTTGTGTTATTTATAATTTCGTCTCTTTTTCTCTGCTCTTTCTGAACTTTTATTATTTGAAAATTAGACCTGTAATCTTTGTTTTTTTAAAATTATTTCTGCTCATCTACAATACTTCTTTTCTAACCCTCTTATTGAAATATTTACTACTGCTATCATATTAGTAATATTCAAGAGCTCTTTAAGAATTTTTTTTACATTATTCTGTTCCTGATTCATAGATACAATATCTTCTCTAGGAATAAAAGCTGTACCTGAATGGAGCCAACATTTAGGATAGAGTATTAACTTTATACCTTTCTTCATAGTGTCATCCTCCTCTCCTACCCCCACCCCACACATATATCCAACCACATTTATTATCCCCAAGTTCAGAATTCTTCTGACTCAGCCTTTCCAGAAGTAAACTCTGATCCTTCTTCCAGGGCGAGGGAAAAGTACTTACGCAGTGGTGTGGCTTGCAGAAGAAGACTGGAGTCTAACTATTTCTTGCTATGACTTTCAGCTAGTGGTGTGCTGGAGTGGGCTTACACCTGGCTCTTCCCGATAGATGGTTCAGTGTTCTCTTATTGGTAGCCTGAAATGAGCCACAGTAGGAGTATTCATACTACAGAACTCAGCCATCGTTGGGAGGTGCTCCTCATCAGCCATCGTTGGGAGGTGCTCCTCACCTTTCACATCAGTTACATGTAAATTGGGGCACTACCACATCCAGCCAGTCCCCATTTTACGTTCACCCTAGTCCAGGTCTTCAAAGGTATCGTGCTCCATTCCTGAGCCTCCTTGTTGGACTATGACAAAGGGTTTTGTTTCTCTTCAGTGCCCTCCTCTTCATGCAAGTAGATTTCCAATTTGGCATGTGAAGACATGACTACTCTTCCATTTTCAGCTTTTAGATTTTTTTTATTGTTGTTGTCCCTTCTCTGTTCTCTTTATTCAATTATTTATGCTTTTTTATCATCCCCTATTTTCATTATAAATGTGTTTGGAGGAAAGATTTGAGATAAATATATACCATGTTAACCAGAAGTCTTGTTACATATTTATAACCTGAAAAGAGGTATTGATGTAGCACAACTGGAAACTGGACCCAGAATTGGGCAGTTATGCTGGATATCTATGGATGTTTAACCAACTTAAAGAAGAAATGAATCTAACAAAATTCTGGCTTTGCTAATAATGTTTAGCATTTGCAGTGCCAGATGCTACACTTCACGTGGTCTGCGTCATTTAATCTTCACACGAAATAGCTACTAAATCATTATCTGCCTTTTAGAGATAAAGACATTGAACCTTAGAAGGCTTCCAAGGTCACAAATCTTATGAATGACAGTGGTAGGGATTTATATTTACATCTGCCTGAAACATTTAACTCTTTGGCCTGTTTATTACACACTTCTATGGCAGATTCCTGACTAAGAATAGATTCAGGATCAAACTTCAGTTTGGTGAACCAATGTATGCCAGAGAAGAGAAGGATGCTCAGTGCAGGTTTCCAGGGTCTACTCTTCTCCTCAAATGGCATTTAAGAAATAACAGTGCCATCTTAGAAACTGGTTGATAAGAATGAATTTGTTTAGTTCTACTTGATGACATTCCATCCATGATTTCCAGTGCCATACTAAACACACTGCACCTCCAGTATTCCCCTAGATTGGCCTTAATCATTTTATACCTTTTTAGACTGTAAAGTCTGAATAGGTTCAAATGGTATATTAGTCCATTCTGTTTTCACACTATTATAAAGAACTTACTGAGACCGGGTCATTTATAAAGGGAATAGGTTTAATTGACTCACAGTTCTGCATGGCTGGGGAGGCCTCAGGAAACTTAAAATTATGCTGGAAGGTGAAGGGGAAGCAAGGACCTTCTTTACATGGTGAGGAGAGACACGTGCAAGCATGGAAATGCCAGATGCTTATAAAACCATCAGATCTCATGAGAACTCACTATCATGAGAACAGCATGGGGGGAAACTGCCCCCAGATCCAATTACCTCCCTCCCTCGACACATGGGAATTACAATTTGAGATGAGATTTGGGTAGGGACACAGAGCCAAACCATATCAAATGCGAAATATTACGTATCCCTAAAGAGAAGCTTAAGTTTCCAGAAGTTCTAATATAATAGGATGCTGAGTTTTAATAATATTACATTGGTGTGATTATTAATTTTAGTGTCAACTGGGCCACAGGGTGCCCAGATAATTGGTGAAATGTTATTTCTGCGTGTGTGTGTAAGGGTGATTCTGGATGAGACTAACATTTGAATTGGCTGATTGGCTAAAGCAGATGGCCCTCCCCAGTGTGGGTCAGCATCATCCAATCCACTGAAGGCTGGACTAGAACCAAAAGGCAGAAGAAGGGTGAATTCGTTCCCTCTGCCTGGTGGTCTTCAAGCTGAGACATCTCTCTTCTTCCACCTTTGGACTGGAACTGGAACCTATACCATAGGCTCTCCTGGGTCTCAGCTTTCACATTGTAGATCCTGGGAAATTTCAGCATCTATGGTCTTAAGAGCCAATTCCTTATAATAAATCTTTATTTCTGTATGTCTATTTGTGTCTATATCTATATTTACTTCTCCTATTCCTCTGGATAACCCTAACTAATACAATTGGATTGGCCCTCCCAAAGTGCATGCTGGAACACTGCATCACATATCTCTAGGGGTGCTACATACATCATGGACTACGTGAATGACATCTAGTAGAGTTGTGCGGTCTATTAGGCTAGTTACTTTTACTCTCATGAATCTAGGCTCTTGACTAGTAGTTATGGGATCCCAGTGAGATCCCTCCTTATAATATACAATATCCTCCAGTTCGAGGAAGATCTGATCTGGGTTTTTATAGTAGGAATGTGGGAGACAAAGGCTATTTAAACAAAAGTGCTTAGTTTAGCAAGTGAGGCACAGCCATTAGCTGGAGCTACTTATTCTTTTCAGAAGAGGGGGATTGTGAGTAAAACAAGAGATGAAGGCATAGCTCTCATGTCACCATTTTCTCTATTCAGCACCTTATCTTTTTCATGGATTTTTTTTTCAGTGGTTGAGTCACATTCTTCTAAGCTAGCCCTCCCCTCTTCTAGTTTGGATCTCCTGGTCACATCAATGCCCTTTTATCCATTCAAGGATCAACCAATTCTAATCAACTTTCCCTCCTTTGGGTCATATATTCAGTTATTTATCAAATGTCCATTGAGCACTCACTATATAGCAAGCATGATGTGAAAACTGGGGATACACCAGTGATAGAAAGATATAGTCCCTCTCCTTGGAGACTTTACAGCCCTGCAGGAACAGAGTTTAAACAAATAATGACAAATAGCTTATTTTTATTTAATGGAACACAATGAAGAAACTTACAGGAAGCTATGAATTCCCATTATGCAAGGCGTGAGAAAATAATACATAAACTGAGCGATAATGCATGAGTCAGTTCAGAGAAATGGAGAACGGAAGGTTGGGAAGTAGTTTGGGAAAAGTATGTGGGAAGAAGGTGGAGAGGCAAAACAAGATCAAGACCCACTGCTTAAGGTAAGGCTGCCTCATTTTGTGGCTCTGTGTCTTTATGAACCCCCCATTGGGTTTATCTTTTTATATTCTTTTCAATTATCCAAAGTTTAATTAAAAGGAAAATTCTCTTTACTGGTAGAACACAGGATATATCCTCAACCCTTTTACATTAGGATGGGCCAGGACCTCCCATTAGACCAAGCACATGGGAGAACAGGGTCTTGATGCTATACATCTTTGTGTTATATAACAGTGTAGCTATAGCAGTATATTTCACTTGGCAGGTTATAAACATGTGCTTGCTGAATAATTTGTTGAATTAAAGTTTTTCTAGAAATTATTTCTGAAAAATATATTAAGGGAAGCATTTCTTTATTAAATGTTAATAATTTTTATTGACTTTTATGATGCTAATCATTCTGGGATTATCTCTTTAAAAAAACTTCTCTACTTCCTTTCCTATTCCAAACCGGTAGCTAGAATCTTAGTGCTTTTTTGCCTCGGGAATTTTTGAACAGAGCAAGCAGAACTGATTGATATCAAAGGGTCTTTCTGGCTTTTATAAGAGCCAACTTTCATGAAACAGATGATGCCAGGGGCCGTGAGGATGAGGGAAGAGATGAAAGCATCTTTGAGAAGAGGAAGGAAAGGAAATGTCACCCACACAGGCATTGGTTCCAGTGAGAACCGGAGCCTAACCCACTGTGCTGAAACTGTGCCCCGGGTAACACAAACCTCCGAGGCCAGGCCTCAGAGGAATACCTAAAACTGAGACAAATGTCCAGTCTTGGCAAAGATTCTGAGCCCCATGTGCAGAGTGGAAATAGCAGAGTCCATGAACGAAACTGGACTGACCGGACTGTAGAAATTAAGATGTGAGAGTTCTCAGCAATTACTCAGATGCACCACTGATGAGTTTCCCTGGTGTTTGATCTGGGACTCCGGCCCCACCTGAGGGTGGAATTGCCCACCATCAGCCAACATGGAGGCTCAGATTTAGACTGAAGGTGACATAAAGAAATAAAAGCCACATTTTTCACATGACTTTACTGTTCCGTCACAGTACCGTGGGTAATTATTGACTGATAGATTTAGCCATTTGAGAAAGCAGTTGTTTTCCTCAATATTGGATAGATGGGTTTAACCAACTCACTGGGAAGTACTGTTTCCTCAATGAATTTAACATCTTGTAGGAAAAGTTGCTGGATTCACTTGAGGTCCATGTCCATAGTGTGGGGCTTTTGCCTGCCTCTCCAGCTCAAGGGCATTTTGATACTTCTGTGTTATCGCTGTATTGGAATCTTCCATTGCTGGTTCCAGCCCTTCCCCTCATAGTAGGAATTCCATTCATTCATTCATTGATATCCTCTGATTCTACATTTAGCAGTAGATCCCAACAATGTTGACTTGCCTCTTCTTTTTGTAAAAACTGGTAATAGTCTGTTTAATGGAGTTAAGTGTCTACATTACAGTTGACTAATAGTGGCCATTATTTCCCATTCATGGATACTTATTAGCTATCAAATATAGTACTAGATGCCAGGGGACACAAAAATGACTGAGACCCATGCCCCACTAATGGGCGAGATATAGATGTATACATTTAATTACACCATGGGACAAGTTGGATTAAAAACAAAGTATTATGGAGCACAGATGATGGGGATTCTACCACTGCAGAGGAATCATGGACATCTTTTAAAAGGAAGTAGTGTTTGAGCTGGTCCTTGAAATAAAACCTACAGATTTGGCAGCTGAGGGGAGAAGAGCCCATTCCAGCCTGAGAGAAGATATGAATACCAGAATCTGGAGAAGCTCAGTGTGGCAGAAGCAGAGGGAAGGAGTTTAGAGAAGGAGCCAAAGAGAGGGATCTTTCTCTAGAATAATGCTGTAGAGCTTGGATGATAACTGCAGTGTGATCATAGTCCTATTTGATGAGCTCATGGATGTGCTAGGTACCAAGATGTCATAAGGAAAGATGATGCCCCCATTTTAAAAATGAAGAGAATAAGGCTCAGAGGCCCCTTAATAAGTCCTATCCGGAGCAAGGATTCTTTTCCCTAGGTCTGTCAGACTCGTACTTTAAAAAAAAAAAAAAAAAAAAAAAAAAAACTGGTAATAGTCTATGTCTAATGGAGTTAAGTGTCCATATTAAAGTTGACTAATAGTGGCCATTATTTCCAATTCATGGATACTTACTAGCCACAAAATACAGTACTAGATTCCAGGGGACACAAAGATGCCTGAGACCCATGCCCCAGTAATGGCTGAGATATAGGTATGAACATGTAAATTACACCATGGGACAGGTAGGATTAAAAACAAAATATTATGGAGCACAGAATTCTTACAGCCTGTTTTAAGAACTTTAGAAACCCTCTGGCCCAGTCGTTTTTGTGGAGTTCTAGAAAATAAAATACTTCCCAGGACACAATAATTGTTATCAAATTTATATATTAGAGTTCTTTTCAAGATGTCTTTTAAAAGAAGAGTTTTGATGCTAAAACAAATTAGGCAAATAAATATCAGTGATTTTGGATAATTATCTTTTAAAAATTATTTCTACAGTCTGAATATGTCCCCCAACATTTATGTGTTGAAAACTTAGTTGCCAGTGCAATAGTGTTGAGAGGTAGGACCTTTAATAGGTAAGTAGATTATGAGGGCTCTGCCCTCCTGAATAAATATCACTTTCATGGGAGTGGGTTTGTTATAAAAGCAAGGTCAGCCCTCTTGCTCTCATGCTCTTACACCATGTGATGCCTTCTGCCATGTCATGATGCAGCAAGAAGGGCTTCACCAGATGCAGACCCTCAAACTCAGACTTCCCAACCTCTAGAACCATAAGCCAAATAAAGTTCTGTTGTTTGTAAATTACCAATCCGTGTTACTCTGTTATAGCAGCACAAAACAGACTAAGACAATGATTTTTTTTCTGGCTGTACTAAATTATACAAGTTTTCAATAGAATTTGGAAAATATAAAAGAAGGAAAAATCACCAATATTCCTACCACTAGTGGGTTACTATTAATACTTTATTGATACCCAATGTTTTTGCCATGAATATATTTTACATAGTTTTAATCTGTGTATTATGCATAAATGCTTTACATTTTATTATATGTTGTGCTAATAATTAAATATTGGAATGATCCCTTTTTATACTGAGACTGAAATCCATTGAATAATCATTGAACAATTTATTTGGTAGAATGCTGTCAATGCCATTAGTTCAATCCACATAAATAACATCAAATATTCTTTCTTGGAAATAATTGAGTTTATGTTTTAAAAAGTATCATTAAGGGCTATTTAAAGATAGGAATTTTAGAATGAGTCACACAATTTTGATACATCCATCAATTGACACCAAAATCTTGAAAGCAGGATAAACTATTAAATATAATCCCTCTGTTTTTCTAAAAAATTTCTGAAAACAGTAATGTTTTTGGTTTGTGGAGTAAAAATCTACATCTGATAGTGCTGTAGTTTAATATTCTTTAATATGAAATTAGAGTTCTTAATTTTAGGATCAAGTAAATAAGGCTAATTTAAAAAGAAAATTTTCAGTATTTTACACTAATACTTAAGATTCTGAATAAATATCAAACATTGAAGATGTCTTTTTGTTGGTAATATTTGTAGCTAATTCAGGGGGACTTAAAGACACGGTTAGAGAGTGAGTTAGGAGATAAAGAAAATGTCATTAGAAGTTCCACCTACCTCCCCTGAAGAGAGTACAGGTGACAAACACAGGCTTTGGAATGTAAATTGTCAAATTGACTCATAATTTTCTACCCCTACCCTCGATGCCTTATGGCACCCAGTGATCCCCACCTCCTGGTATTCATGCCTATATGGTGTCTCCTCCCCTTAAGTGTGGGCGGGGCCTGCAATTCACTTCTGACCAGTAAAATATAGGATGTCATTCTGTGATTAGATTACATTAGATTGTCAACAATCACATGAGCATGAAAGGGGATCCTTCCCCAGTTGAGCCTTCAGAAGAAACATCAGCCCTAGCTGACACCTGGATTGCAGTCTTCTGACAGACCCAGAAGCAAGGGACCCAGCTGAGCTGTGCCTGGACTTCTAACCCACAGAAATTATGAAATAATCCACTCGTTGTAAGTGATTAAGTTTGTGTTGATTTTCCATGCAGAAATAGATAATGAATACACCTGTGTGCACAGTGATTCACTCAGAGTGACTCAGAATAGCTATGAAATGAAGTGCCCACACCCACCAGGCCTCTTGATACCAATTCTCCATTTCCACCAGCCTCTTTTATGCCTGAAAGTGTCACTTTAAGAAACAAGATGACAAGACATATCATTGTCTCAAGCTCTGTGAGTGTTTGCCTTTGGCTCAAATCAACAGAAAACTTGATAAAAACAATCTCTTGGGGATAGGAGTTTATTGGTTTCATTCAACCAAAACTCCAAGGATAGGTAGCCAGGGGCTCGCAGGGTGAGTTGGATGATCCTCAAGGCCCAGACCCCTCCTTTCCTTTTCCTTCTCTGAAAGGTGAACTTTTGCAATGATTAATAAAACAGATCCAAGGTCAGGCATGGTGGCTCAAGCCTGTAATCCTGGCACTTTGGGAGGCTGAGGCCTGTGGATCATCTAAGGTCAGGAATTGGAGATCAGCCTGGCCAACATGGTGAAACCTTGCCTCTACTAAAAATACAAAAAATTAGCCAGGTATGGTGGCGGGCACCTGTAATCCCAGCTACTTGAGAGGCTGAGGCAGGAGAATCTCTTGAACCTGGGAGGCAGAGGTTGCAGTGAGCTGAGATTTTGCCATTACACTACAGCCTGGGCAACAAGAGCGAAACTCCGTCTCAAAGCAAAAAAAAAAAAAAAAAAAATTCCATATTTAATGAGAATGACATAATATTGTAAAAAGTAAAAACAATAAACTGCAAAATTACACATATAATCCAAATATGCCAAGAGACCAAAGAGAGAGAAACCAAATGATAACAGATAATATCAGTTACCTCTGGAGAGACTGCCTTTTTTTAAACTCTTAGATATTTTCTACAGTCTTTTATTAGTGATCTTATAGGACTTTTATAATAAAAATATTTTTTGACAGTTGCACATAAAATTTATAGTTTTTGTGTAATCATATATACTATCAGCTTCCAAATCAAAGACCAAGGGGTACATTCAGGACTGACATTTTTTAATTAATGAAAATATTATTTTGAAAGGATCACAGAGACAGAAGATATATAAGACTAGTTCCACATCTAGGAGATGCCTTTTCAGTTGAATATTCTGCATCTATTCAGAAAAAAAGTTTAAAGAAGTAGTAAGTCCAGTGTCAGTTTTCTGCATATGGCTAGCCAGTTTTCCCAGTACCATTTATTAAATAGGAAATCCTTTCCCCATTGCTTGTTTTTGTCAGGTTTGTCAAAGATCTGATGCTTGTAGATGTGTGGTGTTGTTTCTGAGGTCTTGTTCTGTTGCATTGGCCTATATATCCGTTTTGGTACCAGTACAATGCTGTTTTGGTTACTGTAGCCTTGTGGTATAGTTTGAAGTCAGGTAGCCTGATGCCTCCAGCTTTGTTCTTTTTGCTTAGGATTGTCTTGGCTATACAGGCTGTTTTTTGGTTCCACATGAAATTTAAAGTAGTTTTTTCTAATTCTGCAAAGAAAATCAGTGGCAGCTTGATGGGGATAGCATTGAATCTATAAATTACTGCAGGCAGCATGGCCATTTTCATGACATTGATTCTTCCTATCCATTAGCATGGAATGTTTTTCCATTTGTGTCCTCTCTTCTTTCCTTGAGCAGTGGTTTGTGGTTCTCTTTTAAGAGGCCCTTCATGTCCCTTGTAAGTTGTATTCTTAGTCATTTTCTTTGTAGCAATTGTGAATAGGAGTTCACTCATGATTTGGCTGTTAGTCTGTTATTGGTGTATAGGAATGCTTGTGATTTTTGCAATTGATTTTGTATTCTGAGACTTTGCTGAAGTTGCTTATCAGCTTAAGGAGTTTTTGGACTGAGATTATGGAGTTTTCTAAATATACAATCATGTCATCTGCAGACAGAGACAACTTGACTTCCTCTCTTCCTATTTGAATATCCTTTATTTCTTTCTCTTGCCTGATTGCCCTTGCCAGAAATTCCAATACTGTGTTGAATAGGAGTGGTCAGAGAGGGGATCCTTGTCTTCTGCTGGTTTCAAAGGGAATGCTTCCAGTTTTTGCCCATTTAGTATGATATTGGCTATGGGCTTGTCATAAATAGCTCTTATTATTTTGAAATATGTTCCTTCAATACCTAGTTTATTGAGAGTTTTTAGCATGAAGGGATGTTGAATTTTATTGAAGGCCTTTTCTGGATCTGTTGAGATAATCATGTGTTTTTTTGTCATTTGTTCTGTTTATGTAATGGATTATGTTTATTGATTTGTGTATGTTGAACCAGCCTTGCATCCTAGGGATAAAACTGCCTTGATCATGGTGGATAAGCTTTTTGATGTGCTGCTGGATTCAGTTGGCCAGTATTTTATTGAGGATTTTTGCATTGATGTTCCTCAAGGATAGTGGCCTGAAATTTTCTTTTTTTGCTGTGTCTCTGCCAGGTTTTGGTATCAGAATGATGCTGGCCTCATAAAATGAGTTAGGGAGGAGTCCCTCTTTTTCTATTGTTTGGAATAGTTTCAGAAGGAATGGTACCAGCTCCTCTTTGTACCTCTGGTAGAATTTGGCTGTGAATCTGTCTGGTCTTGGGCTTTTTTTGGTTGGTAGGCTATTAATTACTGCCTCAATTTCAGAACTTGTTATCAGTCTATTCAGTGATTCGACACCTTCCTGGTTTAGTCTTGGGAGGGTGTATGTGTCCAGGAATTTATTCATTTCTTCTAGATTTTCTAGTTTATTTGCATAGAGGTGTTTATAGTATTCTCTGATGGTAGTGTGTATTTCTGTGGGATCAGTGGTGATATCCTCTTTATCATTTTTTATTGTGTCTATTTGATTCTTCTCTCTTTTCTTCTTTGGATGAAGAGTCAAGACCCATCGGTGTGCTGTATTCAGGAGACCCATCTCACGTGCAAAGACACACATAGGCTCAAAATACAGGGATGGAGTAATATTTACCAGAAAATGGAAAGCAAAAAGAGCAGGGGTTTATAATCCTAGTCTTTGATAAAACAGACTTTAAACCAATAAAGATCAGAAAAGACAAAGAAGGGCATTACATAAAGGTAAAGGGATCAATGCAACAAGAAGAGCTAACTATCCCAAATATATATGCACCCAATATAGGAGCACCCAGATTCATAAAACAAGTTCTTAGAGACCTACAAAGAGACGTAGACTCCCACACAATAATAGTGGGAGACTTTAACACCCCACTGTCAATATTAGACAGATCAACATGACAGAAAATTAACAAGGATATTCAGGACTTGAACTCAGCTCTGGACCAAGTGGACCTAATAGACATCTACAGAACTCTCCACCCCAAATCAACAGAATATACATTCTTCTCAGTGCCATATGGCATGTATTCTAAAATCGACCACATAATTGGAAGTAAAACATTCTTCAGCAAATGCAAAAGAACAGAAATCATAACAGTCTCTCAGACCACAGTGCAATCAAATTAGAACTCAGGATTAAGAAACTCACTCAAAACTGCACAACTACATGGAGATTAAACAACTTCCTCCTGAATGACTACTGGGTAAATAACAAAATTAAGGCAAAAATAAAGAAGTTATTTGAAACTAATAAGAACCAAGAGACAATGTACCAGAATCTCTGGGACATGGCTAAAGGACTGTTAAGCGAGAAATTTATAGCACTAAATGCCCACAACAGAAAGCTGGAAAGATCTAAAATTGACATCCTAACATCGTAATTAAAAGAACTAGAGAAGCAGGTGCAAACAAATTCAAAAGCTAGCAGAAGACAAGAAATAACTAAGATCAGAGCACAACTGAAGGAGATAGAGACATGAAAACCCTTAAAAAAATCCAGGAGCTTGTTTTTTGAAAAGATTAACAGAAGGACCACTAGCTAGAGTAATAAAGTTCTACAATTTTTTTAAATTAATTTTTTCTGAGACTTTGGGCTGAAGAGGCTTTGGAGAGAATGCAAAAATTAAAATGTAGTAGGTTATTTCCCTTTTTGATGAGTGTTTGTCTGAGTCATTTGTGTATCCGTACAGCAGTGTAAAAAGAATCTTAGATTACAGATAAAAATATGGGGTCCCATTGCAACAGGTAGTTGCCCAGTAGTACAAGCACAAATTGACACAGAGAGACCTTGATTTCTGGTGGCACCTACTAGCTGTGCGACCCTGGGCGTTTCTGAATTGTACCATGAGAAGTTCACTAGGTTTCATTGCTATTATCTGAGAAAATACAATGTTACTTAGCAGAGTGCCTAGACATAAGAGATGATCAATGTTAATAAGCATTATTGTAATTATTATTTAGCAAGGTTAGTGCCTTTGAGAAGAGGGAAGATGACATCATAAAGGGAGATACGGGGAGTAGCCAGGCCTAGAGGTAGAGCATAGTTGAGGGACCTCGTACAACTGCCAGAGAAGGCCCCACAAGAGGTAGGCTTGGTGCTGAGGAGGAGAAGCCCCCACTCTCCCAGGAGTGCACTGGTCAAAGTGAATCAGGATCCAGTCCTGCAGCAACAAGGCAGGTTATCTGCTCATTGGAGATGGGCCAGGAAGTGGGGGTAATTGCAGGGACAAGGGCAAATGACAGGTACTTGGAAGTATCAGGTGTAACTAAAAATCCTAAGCCATCCAGTTGAGTGAATGGATCCCCTCTTGGCCAAGGGGACCCAAGAGAAACCTTAAAAACTGAGTTCCTGGCTATGACTGATGGAAGGTCAGATATGCCTTGTCGTACCTCCTCTCTTTTGCAGTTTAGACACAACCACTGACCAGCATTCATATTAAAATAGAGACTGTAAGACTGGAATGGACTCTTTGTGGCAATAAGATGCCAAATTATGAACAGGTCCTGAGACCATACCATACAAGAGTTAAGTACCATACCCTAAGCTAAGTTCTAACTGCCACTAGGTTTTTATTTTTCTCTAGCAGCTAAACAAGCGCTGGCCTTGAGGTAAGCAATATGAAAACAATTACAACTCATCCAGCCTGCAGGCACTGACTGACACCTCATTCTACCAGCCAGAACTACAGCTTTGATTGGACGAGAGACTGATTTCAGTAACTTTCTCCTGATTGGAGACCACTGGCCATGGACTGGTTCTAGCCGGTTTTCAGAAGCTACATACTGAATACCTCTGTGTGTCTCCTTCACCTTTTGACATATAGGACCTAATTGTAATACATTTAAACTTTAAGTCTCCACCTCAAGGTGAACATGGGTTGTGTGTTAGATGCATGTTCAATACACATGCATCAGGATGACCTTTAATGAATATTCATAGCACCTCCTGTAACCTATTGAATATGTATGTTTTGCCAACATGTTCAGAGCGTAAGTCTCCTGCCCCAGTGCCTCCTCCTGTGAAGTGCCTGCAAATGCTGGATGGCCAAGGCTGTGATTCCCAGCCTATCAGAGTGGCCGCCTAGCAGGCTGTAACCCATTTATAAGAAATAAAGTCTATTTTCTAAATTTGTGTGATTTTTTTTGGCAAGTTAACGTAGGTGATAGTGGGACCAGAGAACTTGCTGAATAGGGATTGGACTATTTCTCCTTAGTGATCTCATCACCAAGTCTTAGAGACTGGGACACAGCTTATAAATGATGCTCAATTGAGACCAGCCTGGCTAACATGGAGAAACCCCATCTCTACTAAAAACACAAACAAATTAGCTGGCTGTGGTGGCACATGCCTGTAATCCCAGATACTCAGGAGGCTGAGGCAAGTGAATTGCTTGAACTTGGGAGGTGGAGGTTGCGGTGAGCCAAGATCACAACATTGCACTCCAGCCTGGGCAACAAGAGCAAAACTCTGTCTCAAAAAAAAAAAAAAAAAAAAAGATGCTCAAGTGGTCCCCGGGGATGAGAGCTGGCACTGAGAGGAGCTCACAGGGAGCTGTGATCGGGTGCCCCTCTGGTCCTGAGCCTGCTCCCTCCTTGCTTCTCTGCCTCCACTGGACTCTCAGCTTAAAGGGCGTGACTTTCAGTCCCAACTCCCTGCTGCCCTCTTTGACTGCTGATTCTAGACTCTAACTTCAGTTAATCTCAGCACAGAGCTCACAAGACACAAGCCAAGTTCCTTTCCTTGACAGTTAAGCCCAACTGTTCCCTGAGGGCTTATTACAGAGAACCCTGGGCTGGGTGCAGTGGCTCACGCTTGTAATCCCAGCACTTTGGGAGGCCTAGGTGGGTGGATCACCTGAGGTCAGGAGTTCGAGACCAGCCTAGCCACCATTAAATGGCGAAACCCTGTCTCTACTAAAAATACAAAAAAATTAGCCAGGTGTGCTGGCACTTGCCTGTAATCCCAGCTATTCAGGAAGCTGAGGCAGGAGAATCACTTGAACCCAGGTGGTGGAGGTTGCAGTGAGCCAAGATCATGCCACTGCACTCATGCCTGGGTGACAGAGTGAGACTCCATCTAAAAAAAAAAAAGCCTGAAATTTTCTAGGAATATTTGCCTTTCGTATTTCCATCCGTGTTACTGTGTCCGGAATTGGTGGGTTCTTGGTCTCACTGACTTCAAGAATGAAGCCATGGACCCTTGCGGTGAGTGTTACAGTTCTTAAAGATCGTGTGTCTGCAGTTTGTTCCTTCAGATGTTCAGATATGTCCGGAGTTTCTTCCTTCTGGTGGGTTCGTGGTCTCGCTGACTTCAGGAGTGAAGCTGCAGACCTTCGCGGTGAGTGTTATAGCTCTTAAAGGCAGCACGTCTGGAGTTGTTTGTTCCTTCTGGTGGGTTCATGGTCTTGCTGGCTTCAGGAGTGAAGCTGCAGACCTTCCCGGTGAGTGTGACAGCTCATAAAGGTGGCATGGACCCAAAGAGTGAGCAGCAGCAAGATTTATTGCGAGGAGTGAAAGAACAAAGCTTCCACAGCATAGAAAGGGACCTGAGCTGGTTGCCGCTGCTGGCTGGGGTGGCCTGCTTTTCTTCCCTTATCTGGCCCCACCCACGTCCTGCTGATTGGTCCATTTTACAGAGAGCTGATTGGTCATTTTGACAAAGTGCTGATTGGTGCGTTTACAAACCTTTAGCTACACACAGAGTGCTGATTGGTGTGCTTACAATCCTTTAGCTAGACACAAACGTTCTCCAAGTCCCCACCAGATTAGCTAGACACAGAGCGCTGATTGGTGCTTTTACAATCCTTTAGCTAGACAGAAAAGTTCTCCAAGTCCCCACCATCCCAGAAGCCCAGCTGGCTTCACCTCTCACTGGCACTAGCCACGGGACTTTGTGGCACCTATCCGGAGCACCTAGCCCGGGCACTCCAGCAGCCTAGAGGGAGCTCGTCCCAGACAATCAAGAGCAAAAGACGGGAAGCAAGAAAGAGATGGAGACCCGCCATCGTGGCCAACGTTCTGGTCCACGCACGGGATTCAGCCTCTGATCAAGCCCCAGTTCCCGCCCACGCCTCTCCCTCCACACCTCCCGGCAAGCAGAGGGAGCCGGCTCCGGCCTCGGCCAGCCCCAGAGAGGGTCCCCCACAGCGCAGCGGCGGGCTGAAGGGCTCCTTGAAGACGGAGAGAGCTGAAGCTGAGGCTGAGGAGGCGCCAAGAGCGAGCCAGGGCTGCTAGCAAGTTGTCATCTCTCATTACTAGCATTCTCTCAGGAATATCCTACCGCAGGGTTCCCGTGTTTCATATACAATTAGTGATGAGGCTAATCATCCTGATCTCAAATTTCCTCTACCTGCCCACCAGCTGACTTAAACCCCTATACTGTGGGCATGCATTCTGCCCACTCTGAAATCTTAGGATTTAACTTCTCTTGCTTCCTAGAAAATGAACCACTTTGTTCCTTTAGTCATTTATTCACTAATAATTTGTTGAGAGGTTTTGTTTTGAGGAGCATGAAGGATCTGATGTAAGAACTACCACCGGTGCTGGTGATCACAATATATGCAGCTGATTAAAGTTCCTCATTTATGCTACCTACATCCCTGGTAAGAATTTCATTCCTTCAACCAATACTTTTCATTTGAAAGCATCTCATTACGAAAGACTTCAATCTTTTAGGCTTCTGCATCTTGCAAAACAAATATGGTTCCAAAGAGCCTATCTTTTCAACAAATCTTTGGTTTGAGCCTGGATGAAACAGTTATTACAGAATCAACTGGAGAGGAAAAAATCTTCATCTAACACTGAAGTCTTTCTATTCTGCGAGGTGAAATCCTTTGACCTAGATTCTGTCCCTTGAAAGGCAAGTGACAGTAGGTGAGCCTAAGAAAATTGGTTAATTCTTGATCTAAAAAGTTAAATTCATGAACCACACTGATTTGATTACCTTGAAAATCTACCAGACAGAAAGTTCTCCCTTTTATCCACCTTCATTGTTACCTTCAGAGCAGCTCTCTCCATAGCAACTGAAAACTTTTCTGGGCTGAAATAATCCTCTCTAGCTCCCAGTGCACAGTCAAAGAATTTTAAAAACAGGGAACTTTGTAACTGTGAAATACTCTCCAGGATTTAAAAGGCTGTGGAGCTCCAGATAAAGAATCGTTTATCTTTCTTCTGAAGGTAAGCACTGGGGTTAGAAATGCTTGCATCATCCTCTGTCACTTTTAAATTGCTAACATAACAACCTTAAAGTGTTGTTGTTGTTTTTAACTCATAAAAGTAATCCCAGTACCTTTGTTACTAGCCCACAGTCATTTACCAGCTCATCTCTGGGCCAGGATCGGACATGAGATGCTGTTAACATTTTACATGCCTTAAGCCATCAACAGAAAGATAATTTTTTTTTCCAGGAAGTTGATTGGCTCTAAAGTCATCCCCCACTCCTTTAGTCACCACTGAGTGAGTGTGTGTGTGTGTGTGTGTCATGTTCTTGAGGTCTCGAAATTCTGTTTTTCTAAGATGCTTCCTGCTCTAGAATCTTGATTCTTAGTAAACTAAAAAAAAGACCTGTGTTTTCTGAACATTACTATTTTCTTCTAGTGCTTTTCCTTGTCTAAAACTCTTTTTTTTTCTTTTTTCTTTTTTCTTTTTTTTTTTTTTGAGATGGAGTCTTGTTCTGTCGCCCAGGCTGGAGTGCAGTGGCACGATCTTGGCTCACTGCAACCCCCGCCTCCCGGGTTCAAGCAATTCTTCTGCCTCAGCCTCCCATGTAACTGGGACTACAGGCACGTGCCACCATACCTGGCTAATTTTTGTATTTTCAGTAGAGACGGGGGTGTCACCATATTGGCCAGGCTGGTCTCAAACTCCTGACCTCGTGATCTGCCTGCTTCAGCCTCCCAAAGTGCTGGGATTACTGGTGTGAGCTACCGCGCCTGGCCTAAAACTTTTAAACTCAACATGATGTTGGTCATTTAGTAGAATTTATTTTCTCTTTTTCATGAGGACCATGAATCACTTGGAGTTCTTTATAATGGGATAAACATAAGGTGTTTCCCAACCTGGGTCCTATAACTTGTACCACCTGTTGGTAAATGGAGAAACTTACGTGACGCTATGTTTAGTTTAGGGAGAGAGAATCTAGCAAGCTTTTTGGCTGCTGTGCAGTTTGAAAGTCTACAGCCATGGTGCTTTCCTGCCATTTGGGGTTAGAAATTACCTACAGACCCCCGCTGTGTAGAAACAGCTTGTCATTGCAAATCAGCTTAGCCACCCAATTAATGAATCCTTTCAAACATGTTGCAGGCACAATAATTGAAGGCTTTATTTTTCCCCTTTACCACAGAAATTCCTTTGGTTACAAGTTTACCCCATAAACGGCAACACACTCACCTCCATCCAAGACAGACTCAAGGTGGAGGAAGCGTGGAAATGTGCTTCCGGACAAAGCTCTCAGTATCCTGGGTGCCATTGTTTCTTCTACTCAGCCGTGTTTTTTCTACTGAGACAGACAAACCCTCAGCCCAGGATAGCAGAAGCCGTGGGAGTTCAGGCCAACCGGCAGACCTGCTACAGGTTCTCTCTGCTGGTGACCACCCACCCCACAACCACTCAAGAAGCCTCATCAAAACATTGTTGGAGAAAACTGGGTGCCCACGGAGGAGAAACGGAATGCAAGGAGATTGCAATCTGGTTAGTGAAATAGAATGGGGTCAGGTATCAGGGCATGTCCAAAAGAAAGCAATGGATTCTATAGGGATTTATTTCAGTAAAGCAAAATCACAGGCAAATCTTCCAATATGCAATTGAGCAATGCATTCTGGTAAAATAATTTCCATATTTGGGATACAGCAAATCAGCATTCTATGTATAGCACCTAGGGACATTTTTGTTGTTGAAAGGATGATGTTTATGTAAGGCTTTCTAGAACCCTTCTGCATATTTAGAGGCATTTATTTGTGAGCGCGAACTTTTAGTCCTCTTTTCTGATTGACTAATCTTTTCTTAAAGCCTTCAGTGCACTTGCACGTGACTAGTTTTAGTTGCTATTTGTTTGCTGGAGCATAATGCGATCTGATATTTGCCCAACATTGGGTTTTTGAGTACTTTTTCCTGGCATGGTATTTTCTAATATTATGCATGGCGGGTAGTTAATGATTGGATAATCATCTTAACGATGAGGAATCTGAGCTGGGGAGACAGATGCTGCAGGTGGAGCTGAAGTCGCACCCATGGCTCCTGAGGCCTGAGTCACAGCCTGATCTTAGCCTACAAAGCGAATCTCAACCCTGATTGGAATCAGCTGCATAGGTTTCCCAGCATACCCATGTTTAGGTGTCATCCTCTAGAGACTGAGATTTTACTTGCCTGGGATAGAACTTTTAAAAGTCTCTCCAGGTTATTATTTATTTTATTTTATTTATTGTGAGACAGAGTCTCGCCCTGTTGCCCAGGCTGGAGTGCAATGGCATAATCTTGGTTCACTGCAACCTCCACCTCGTGGGTGCAAGTGATTCTCCTGCCTCAGCCTCCCAAGTAGCTGGGATTACAGGCACCCACCACCACGGCCGGCTAATTTTTTTGTATCTTTAGTAGAGATGGGGTTTCACCATGTTGGCCAGGCTGGTCTCAAACTCCTGACCTCGTGATCTGCCTGCCGCCACCTCCCAAAGTGCTGGGATTACAGGTGTGAGCCACGGCGCCCGGCCTCCAGGTCACTTTAATATGACGTCAGTGATGTCTAAGAATTTATTCATTAGGGAGGGTGGGGTAGGATGGAAGGAGGTGAGAACTCATGTGTTTAAATGACTACAAAAGAAAAAATAAAACCTACTCCACCATCCCATTCCTGACCCACGAGATTTTTTAGGACGAACCCATAAATACATAAATGAAAGCATACATAAATAAGTAAAACAAAAGCTAACAACCGTCTCCAAAATACATTTTGGCAGACTTTCTCAATCATGCAGAGGCGAGGGAGGGAGGGGAGGGGAACATTTTCTGACCAAGTGTTTTGTTTTTTCATAACAGAAGAGTTCTTGCTCATAGAGAATTTTTCTCTGCTTTGTGTGAGCAATAAATAATTCAATAATTATTAAAATACCCAATGGTTCCCAGAGGAAATGTGTTATAATAGGCAACTCATCTGTGATGACATTAATATATATAGATGGCAACACAAGATGTCCCACTGGAAATAACCAGAAGTCATCTCTTATTCATGTCCTCTGAGGATTCGCTTCAGGGGAATGTTCTCCTTTAATGACGTGAAGTGCCTTATTAAGGCTGGTTGAATAGTAGTTTTGCCAGGGGGGAAGGTAAATATGCAAAATTGTTCTCCATTTTCAGGGCTGGGGGAAGGATTGTTTAGCACTTACTGTTTTCTGTGACAGTATCAGGAGTTTAGCCAATTTGGTCCCCATTTGAATCAGTTCCATTCCTAGGACTTGAAACACCATCTTAAATAGCTTCACCCTCCTTCTCTGTGAAAGAAAGGCAGGTGAAGCAGAAGTGAGTCTCAGCTTTACCTACTCAGAAGGCTTCAGTTCACCCCAATCACCCATCAGGAAGGAGCTTAGGAAATGTCTCCCATCATTCATGAAAAGAGGGAGGAAACAGAGTCCTCTGAATTTCACAAACACGCGGGTTCTGGCGCGAACCACAGAGCTTCAGCTTGTGGCCGAGTCTGTTCTGTCATCTGAGGGACTTTGTCTGCTGACAGGCAGGGTTCATGCTACAAATTCTATCGTAAAAAGAGAGGTTAAGGGGGTTTCTTCATATCCCTAAATGTCTGAAAAAAGAGGGAAGTAGGTATCTTGAATTTGTTGGGAGTAAAAATGCTTCCAATTTTACGTCTGTATAAAAAGTGAATTTTTTAAAAAGCCAATGTGAAGTATCTGAGAGCATTGCACATTTAAAATAAATTCAGTCAAGCTGCAGTCTTTGAAAATGAATAGTTCTGGGCTGATCCTGGCTTTTTCTTTCTTTAATGAGAAGGGGTAGAATATAGTTTTAATGAACATCGTGAGAGATTAAATAACTCCAAAACAATACATTCTACTTCAATAATTATGAGAACCATAACCCTACACATGTTTCTGAAAGGAAAAGGGCCCTTTTCTGGCACCTTCTAGTGTTGAGACATGTGGAGCCTCAGCTTCCTCACCCTGAAGGCTGGGATAATGAGCCCCTCCTCAGGGAGGTCTGTGAGGACCACATGGACAAACACATGTTCCTCAGGCGCCAGATGTCTGTGAGGGTCAAATGGATATATATGTGCCCCTGAGGGAGATATCTGTGAAAATCACACGGACATGTGTGCTCCCCGGGGAGATCTCTGCAAGGATCACATGGACACATATGCCCTCAGGGATCAAATCTCTGAGAATCATGTGGACATAGATGTATTATGTCCCAGGAAGATCTCTGTGGATCTCATGGACATGTGCTCCTCAGGGAGATCTCTGTGGGGATCCCATGGACATACATGTTCTTAGGAATCAGATCTCTGAGGATCTCATGGACATACATGTACTTCTTAGGAATCAGATCTCTGAGGATCTCATGGATATACATGTTCTCCTTAGGAATCAGATCTCTGAGGATCTCATGGACATACATGTTCTCCTTAGGAATCAGATCTCTCAGGATCTCATGGACACATATGCAGAAAGTCAGATATAGGAGCTCAAGTTCCTTCTGTTCCCTGTGCCTCACAGCAATGTCTGATTCCTCCTTTTCCAGGGACACTAGAGCAGCGCCATTCCTCAGAATCTCCCACCCACCTGTGTCCCAGGCTCCCCTCCACTGTCCTTGATTCTGAGGATTTTAAACGAAGTTCTCCAGGCAATTCTTAGACACATTCAAAGCAGAGAACCACTGCTTTAAGGGTCTCCATTTAATTCACACCTGGCCCTAGCCCCTGACATAACTGTCATGGAATAAAGTGTGGAAAACACCCAGCTTTGTCTTATTATCTAACAATTTCATCTTAACTCTTCTCAGTTAAAAACTTCTTGTCAGTCAGAAGACCCACTAAATCTAGTACAGACCCTAAAGAGCCAGTACCTGCCATCGGCAACATCCTTCCAGCTCTTTGTCAGGAAAAAAACACATACACGTTCTCTCTTATATTTACAATCAATTGTTAGCCACCCCCCACCTCCGGAAAAGAAAAAAACACCTTATAGAAACCTGAGAACTTAAAAGAGACTGTCTTCTTTTAAGTTCTCAAGTTTCTATAATATAAAATTTCCCATTGTTTAAAATCAAATGTTAAACATCTTTCAGTCTAAAACCCCTAAAGTTTATCCTGGAGGCCTGACAGCTGTCTTACTGATGTAGGAGAAGACAGCTACCAAGTTGTTTTTTGTCAGCTGAGGCTCTCACCTGGCATAGATCATAAGCAAAGCTGAATTTCAAGGCTGGGTGAGACCATGTGATGTGGCTCCAGGATGTGGTGGACAATTACTACCAAGTGTCCGAGTAGCCTGTTTAGCTTGAAAGGGGAGCCTCTCCTTGCATTTTAATCAGTCTTTTCCCAAAGTTTATTTCCTTATAAAGTCATTAAAACTAATTCCCAGAATTTATGAGATTCCCCCCGCCCCAAACCTTTTTCCCCCACCTGACAAGATTAAAAGGAAAATCAATGGATTATTCCTGAATGAGTCCATTCTTCTTAAACAAAGAATTGCTTCACCAGAGGCAGCAGCCTTGGACAGATCTTGATGCCTGTGGGGTGGCAGTATTTGCGACATTTTGCTAAATATCCTCTCCCAAACACAACTGAGCCAACTTCTAAAAACATTAACAACAAAACAAATCTAGTGGCGTCGAACTGAAAATTCCAGCTCTGTCCTCATCCAACAGCCCCAGTAGAGCTTTTTGTCATATCTATGTCCAGGGGAAGAATTCTTATTTTATGTTAGCTTTTCTGAGGCTTCCACCTGTATTCTTTCCTCAAGCCACAGCCTTCTGTATTAAAATAAATTCTTTACGATTCAAATATTATAAAAGGGAGGAAGGTTTCCAGCCCGTGGTCATTTGATTCACAATTAAGCTTTGATTTAGCAGGCCTCAAAAAATCAAAGCAAATGTGATGCAACACGTGTTCATTCAAGGTTACCAAAATCTCTGTTCCGACAAAAGAAGATGCTTCTACAGCTGTTTCAAGCTTTCCAAAGCCAGAAACCAATTGTACCTTCCATATTGTATGCCTTTTATACACAGTTGTGGAATGCCTACCCACACGATTATAGTGCGGACCCTGCTCTCTGCTGTTCCGTGCCTTGCATTCCAATTCCAACCCTGGAAAGATACATGGCAAAGACACTGAGGAAGAATGATGCATGGACAGGAGTCTCCGCATCTCAGATGGGTTGAAATATGGTCACATGTTCTGCCATGTGCTCATACACCAAGCCCTGCCCTGGTCTCATGGCCCCATGAGCGTCCTACTCCTTGCATCATAGACATTCTTCTTCCTACCTACCCAGCCCCATCAAACAACCTGAGTAGCACTTGAAAGTATAACATAAACTCATTCAACGCTCTCGTTGTACCATGTCCTTGTTCTGATTGATGTTAGACTTGGACCAATCTCTTAGCCACCTAACTGACCTCTACTCCCATCAAATAGGAGGGAGAGAAAAATTACCGGTCAAAGTGGTTGCCTAACAAGTACATCAGTGGGTCCACAGCCTGTGTTCTCCATGGCACAAAAGGAAGGAATAAAAGAATGGGTCCTGTTCTTCGAAGAGCAGGAATTGTGACTAACAGTGCTCTCCACCATCAGCTGTGTAGCTTTGGGCAAGTTTCTTATCCGCTTTAGTCTTGGTTTTCACACATTCTATGAGTAAACTTTTCTCATGAAGAAAGGTGTAATTCATGTGTTCTTTGCAGTATCCTTGCATACCGTACACAAATGTATCCATTAATTCATTGTGCATTAAATAATTGAGTAATTGATCTTCTAGTTGCTTTATATTATAAAAATCAAATATTTAGAAATATTTGGTGGATTATTACATAGGCTGGAGACATTTTGTTTTTCACACTTAAAATAATAATATAGGGTTCTTATTAAAAAATTCATTACTTTATGCATTTTTCAAAACCAATTAGATTATGCACCAAGGAATAACTGAATGCAAAAGATACTCTGCACATTGCTGGGCACATGGCTACCAACAAATTGTAGCTAATAGTACCAATAGTTTAGTTTCAGGAGGCTATTTTGTACAAAGAACCTCTTTTATTTCCATTTTTTTATTTACACTTTTTATAAAAGTGTAAGTTTTTCATTACACTTTTATTTCAATGGATTCGCTTTTTGGGTCTTGGTGTCAGCCTTGCCATCAGCTACCAAGGTGTGGACTTTTCTTCTGGGCTACTTAGGAAACAGAAAAGGGATGCTGAGGTTTTACAGGTGGAGCCTAATATCCACATTGAGAGTTGGTCTTAGTGGAACCCCTGGGTCTCCTCTGTTTGAGTACTTGACCCCCTGCAGTTGGGTTCAGGAGAGATTAAAGTCTGTGTGGTTTTATGAAGAATGTGATTATGCTTTGATTTGGAGATGGATGACATTTGTTTCTTCCTGACTCAGATGATTACATAGCAGATGTTACACAGTGGGTTGTACAGCAGACCTTGAATTAGAACCCCCAAAACTTCCACTTCAAAGAAGACTAGATTAAAAGATATTGTAGTACAATATCCCCACCATGGGACAAATCTGTCTGGGAGTCACGACAGGCGTTTCTCAATGCTTTCACTCTGTGGCTATGTCGTGGGGCTGCTTCTCAGATCCTGTGAGAATTCTCAGGAGCTCCCCAACTGTCTCTGCAGAAAGGCAGCTTCCCTCTTGCTGAGAAAGCTTCTGGTCCACAATTCCTGTGTCTTTTTCTCACTGTCCCACAACATTTATCCGAATCCCTTATGTCAAGTAAACTTCTCAGATTGCAGGAGCTGGGCATGTGCTTGTGGCTTGTGAAACAAATAAGGCAGCACAGTGGAGGGGAGGAAAGACTTTTCCTCTAACATCTTAAATTCTGTAGCTGGGGCTTGTGAACGAAATGGACAAAAGATGGATTAACAGGAGAAATAGCACACACATTTGATGTTAATATTTTTATGTGGAATAGGGGCATCATAGAAAAAGTGAAAACTCCAAAGAAGTGGTTAGACCCAGGGGTTTATATACCATTTTAACAAAGAGTAATAAATTGTGGGGATGTGACAAGAGTAAGAAAAAAAGTGAATTTGGACTAGAGATGGTAAATTGTGGGAAAGTGACTAGGAAATATGTATGGGAAACCAAAAATTTTTTTTAACATTATACCAATGGAGGATTATTTTAGTAAAGTTCGTTTGTATAGGTTCATCTCAGCATTAATTCCCCATCTCCAGTGATAAGAATGTTCTCCTCTTCCTGATACAGCAAGGATACCTTTCTAATGGGAAACTTATGCCCTGCTTTTAGATAGTAAGGCGAAAGGCAGAGAATCCTTCCTGTACCTGCTGTTTGTCAGTTGCCTTCAGCTCAAAATAATCAATATGCTACAGTGGCATATTTTGGGGCAGTATGTTCTGATTCCCTTCAACAAAATCATTTTTGGCAATTTCCCTAAATAGGATAGAAGAGGGGCAGATGGAAGTCATTTGTAAAATTTTTATACCTCTTAAGTGCCAGGTATTGTGCTATATGCTAAGGATAGAACTACGCAAAAAGCAGACGAAATCTGCTGTTAGTGGACCACAGGTTCTCATAGAGAAGAGAGAGAATAAACAAGTAAACAAAGCAATTTTACAATACGAGTGCTATGAAGAAAAATTTTTAAATGGTGTATTCCAGAATTGTGCTGTCCAGCACAGTAACCACTAGCCCGCTTGTAACTGTTGGGCACTTGATTCGTGGCTCATCCAAATTGAGATGTGCTGGTAAGCATAAAATGCACGCCAGTTTTCAAAGACTTTGTTCAAGAAGAAAAATATAAAATATCTTAATTTTTAAAAATTTTGATTACATGGTAAAATAATTTAATCTTGGATACATAAGGTTAAAATATTACAAAAGTTACTTTTAGCTGTTTTTACTTTTTAAAATCTTGCTGCTAAAGAACTTCAAATGACATATGTGGCTCATATTTGCAGTGTTCCTTGTATTTCTATCAGATAGTTCTGTACTAGGGAACGCAGGTTGGGAATCTTTAGGAAGGTGTTGTGAGAGGGTGACAATTTAGGCTGAAACCTGAAAAATGAGGGGAACAAGAAGACCTGGAAGATTGTGGGAAAGAATTTGGTGAAATTGACATAAAATCACAGGGGCAGAAGTTGAGTGAGATGCTGGACCAAGGCTAAGAGAAGGAAGGAGGGTAGAGTAGACAGGAGCTAGACCAAAAAGAAGATTGCAAGGAATTCGGATTTTATTCTAAATGCAAATGGGCATCACTTTAAAAGCCAAAGAATAATCTGTTTTACACAAGGCAACAGATCAACAACTTGTGGCCGATCTAGTTGGAGACAGGAATTATTCTTAGAGGAAAAAAGGGGTTCCCTAGACAGGCATCATTGTTATGCGGGAGTCCAACTCTCTGAATCTGGCTATTGGTCCTGCCTGCTTTTCCTTTCTGTTTATAAAATGATAAGCAATGAAGACCCTGGTGGTCATTAGTGTTCTGGAACTATTTTGCTAAGCTTTGTTTCTTTTGTTGTTGTTATTGTTTTCTTCCACAGTGCTTTGAACCAGATGCACTATTACTAATAGCTGGAGGAAATTTTGAAGATCAGCTTAGAGAAGAAGTGGTCCAGAGAGTTTCTCTTCTCCTTCTCTATTACATTATTCATCAGGAAGAGATCTGTTCTTCAAAGCTCAACATGAGTAATAAAGAGTATAAATTTTACCTACACAGCCTACTGAGCCTCAGGCAGGATGAAGATTCCTCTTTCCTTTCACAGAATGAGACAGAAGATATCTTGGCTTTCACCAGGCAGTACTTTGACACTTCTCAAAGCCAGGTAAGAAGGCAAAATTGCTAACTGGCTCTGCTGCTAAGATACAGTTCTAGAGCCTTATTGTTTGTTCCTTATTTATTTCTAAGACATTCAAGGACTTCTAAGGGAGGTAAGTATTTGTGGGTTTTGGTTATGAGATGTTAAATGACATAATTTAAAATTCCGAGTCCAAAAGAGGAAATGTAATGACTAATTGGAAGAGCAGTTTTCGCCAGAAGTTCGGTGGGTGGACAGGCAGTCCAGGTGACAGGTCAGCTGTCTTCTCCTGGGTCCCTCTGAGCACTCAAATCAGTATGACCCAAGGCTTTTTGACCAATTTCCAAGGACTGAGCTGTAGTGGTGGAGAGCAATGTTTCTATTTGCCTTGCCTTCTGGCTGCGAAAGGAGAAGGCAGAGACATTTTGAAAGTGATAAATTATCATTAGTTATTTCACTGAAGAAGCAGCTTGCAAAAAGCATTACTCATGGTTGCCAGCCCTAGATGATATCCCTTTGTGGTTTTGAATTGTGCTGCCTGTGTAGAGGATCCATTCAAATGCCTCTCCTCTCTCCCAGCTCCCACCTGGTCTCTGTTGCCTTCATTACTATTCTAGCAAAACTGGCCTTTCAGTTAGGTTTTTGCTTTCTGGTTTGCAGCAGGAAATCTCAGCAGATAAAGTTCTCTGAACATAAGGTTTCTTTAAGCCACGGGTTTTTTTTTTTTTAAAGAATTAATTGAGAAGCCATTACTACATTTTGAAGAGTATGGGGAAATCATTTTTTTTTGAATTATTCATAAACATGTATAGACAAATTTAGTTCCTGCTCTCAATTCTGGCATTCTGAAGCTTAACGACCAGCAAACATATCCTCTAATTTGCTGTAAATATGTTTAATTTCTTTTATTGGCAGAGCAAATGGAGAAGCTGTTTGCTAAGGACTTTGTGACTTTCACATCTGTAGCTCTAATCCTGTTAATTTCAAAATGCGACCATATTTTTATTCCTATTTTCATTTTAGGAAAAGGGATTCCTAGGCCCAGTGCAGTGGCTCATACCTATAATCCCAACACTTTGGGAGGCTGAGGCAAGAGGATCACTTGAGGCCAGGAGTTTGGGATCAGCCTAGGCAACATAGCAAGACCTTGTCTCTACGAAAATAGAATTTAAAAAATTAGCTGGATGTGGTGGCATGAGCTGGTAGTCCCAGCTACTCAGGAGGCTAAGGTGGGAGGATGGCTTGTGCCCAGGAGTTTGAGGTTACAGTGAACTATGACTGTGTCACTATACTCTACCCTGGGCAACAGAAAGAGACCCTATCTCTAAAAGAAGAAAAGCAGGAAAAAAAAAAGAAAAGAAAAAGGGGTTCCTTTACAGAACTGTTTTCTACCTAAACCAGGAGGCGTGCCTACATATAATTTCTTCAGTACAACATCTGTGTAATCCAAGTTTGATTCAAACTGGCTGCTAACATTTTAATCCTACCCATTACTGCCTCATGGGTAACTCAGCACTTAAAAGCACTTAAAAGGTGATGTGGTGTGTATTTCCAGGTTTCTGGTTATCCCACACATACTGCAAATACCCAGGCTTCTGAGTATTTCTGAGATAAAGCAGCCCCAGAACAGAATAAATCAGTATTATATCTAGAACTCCTTTTTCCAGCTAGTTTCGGTCATTAAGAGTTCAACACCTGCTGAGTCATAACCCTTTGCTACACCTCAGGCCAGTGAACACCTGGATGACACCACTGTCTCTAGTTCCTGGGAAGGGTCCATGAGCTCATTCAACTGGACTAGGATTCTCTAGGAAGTCAATCAGTCCAGACTTTGCAGGAGGCTTTTGGCACTTCACCACATCAGCTGTTCTTTCTGACTAGATGGCATGAGGTCAGATGAGGTTCTGGCTCACCAGGCCCATCATTACTTGAATTTCCAGGTCTTGGTCTGCACGGGACCCAGCTTCCACAGATCAAGTCACTAACGGCTGCTCCAAGTGGGCCTCAACAAGATCCCCAAGAGAATCAACTTGATACCCTAATCCAGGCAAGCTCCCTAATGGCTCAGAAAGCAACATCTCTCCCTTCCTTCAATCTGTTTTGTCCAAACCTCTCTGTGTTTTATCTTCCTGACTCAATCTCTCAATGTTCCCACCTCTTGAATTCTCTCCACTGTTGGCTGATTCCATGGTAAATGAACAGGGATCTCTCCCTAGTGTTCCCGTAGCCCTGCCTACTGCATGGAGGCTGGGCGTTCCTGACCCCACGCAAAGGACTTCAGGGATGGGAACAATGGTTGGAATTCTCCTTTATCCTCTATGGTGTTTCGAGACCCTTATTGTTTCACAGCCTGCACGAAACACTCATGCTTCCGTGAAGTTCAAACTCTGTTATTTCAACTTGTTCTTTTCACCCATGGAACTTCTGGCTACTTCTCCAAATTTATCAAAATTTTGGTAACTGATTCTTAGCCTTCCACTCTGCTCTGGACCATGGTTGTAAATATGTTCCTGCCAAGCTCTTCAATTACAGACTTTAAAAAAATAAGTTCAATGGGCACTTTTTCTCCTTGTCCTAAGCCATTAGAATGCAACCTTGACACGATAACCTTCCCTGGATCTCTCTTTTGATGAATTTATTTTCTCCTTCACTTCATATGAAATGGGCTTAGTACAGTGCCTGGCACATTGTAGGCACTCAAATGTCTGAATGGGAATATGAATGGGATATAAAGCAAAATTAGAGCTTTTCACATGCTTATAATTTAATTGAGGAAAATTGATATACATATTTGAAAAAGGTCCTGTGTCCTCTGGGAGTTCAAAGAACATGGACAGTGTACCAGATTTGACATGCAATGAGTACACACTGAGCTTGGGACCAGAGGCAGATGAGAAGTAGAGGGGCCCTGTGATGACGCAAGGCAGCAGAGCCTGTGTGAAGTCAGGGTAGGGAATGTCAGCTTGAAAATCATTCTCCTGCAGGTTGCACTTAAAGCGGGGAGAGAAACAACCCACCAGTTTTAAGGATGTTAAACAATAAGAGCAGGAGTTCCCCTTGGAGAAAACACATCTTTAAGAGGATAGTCAGGCTGGGTGTGGTGGCTTATGCCTGTAATCCCGGCACTTTGGGAGGCCAAGGCAGGTGGAACACCTGAGGTCAGGAGTTCGAGACCAGCCTGGTCAACATGGTGAAACCCCATCTCTACTAAAAATACAAAAATTAGCCAGGCGTGGTGGCAGGCACCTGTAATCCCAGCTACTCAGGAGGCTGAGGCAGGAGAATCGCTTGAACCCGGGAGGTGGAGGTTGCAGTGAGTCAAAATCGTGCCACTTTACTCCAGCCTGGGCAGCAAGAGCTAAACTCGGTCTAAAAAAAAGAAAAAAAAAAGGATAGGGAGAAAAGCTGGATAAATAAGGACCAGTGAGATGAGGGTTAGAAAATTCAGTGCCATGGTAGATAAACACATAATTTTCAAATAGAGTTGTATCTGAGACAGGAGAAAGATGATAGTCATATTCCTCAAATGATTCAATTTTCTTTTAGAAAAACAATTCCTTATCCCTTTAGGGGGAAATTTCAGAGATGTTAGAATCAAAATAACTTCAGATGTTACAATTTTCTCTTTATTTTGTATCTGATTTCAGTGTATGGAAACCAAAACGCTGCAGAAAAAATCTGGAATAGTGAGCAGTGAAGGTGCTAATGAAAGTACGCTTCCTCAGTTGGCAGCCATGATCATTACTTTGTCCCTCCAGGGTGTTTGTCTGGGACAAGGAAACTTGCCTTCCCCAGACTACTTTACAGAATATATTTTCAGTTCCTTGAATCGTACGAATACCCTCCGCCTATCAGGTAAGGATGTTTTCACGAATTTAACTTCCAAGTCACACCTGCTAAATAAACTATGCCAAAAACAAAGGCCAAAGCTCTTGATGACTGAATTCGTTCAGGTATGTTTTAAATACCATTTTTTATAGAGTCATAAAGTCAGACAGCTTATGTGGCCTTTCAAGGCAAGCGTGCTATGAAAGCTATGCGGTGATGAGGCAAAAACATGGACTTGGCCTATTTCTAAGTGATTGGAATTGTGGATGTAAAGGGAGGAGGCGATTTTATGATCTGCCATAAATACTAACTGAATAGTTTCTTATTTGGGACATAATGCTGGGCCAGGCCTAACAAACTGCTGTGTAGAATGAAAGAATAGTATTCTAAATTGTGCAAGACATTTGGCAGCAGTTTCCTTGCAATCATGAAAGCCATTTAATTTCAAATAGAAGTAATGTGAAATAGCCATCCTTGCTGCATTCCTGACTACCTTACCTGCTTTTTGGGGATCCAGGATGAAATAGGATGTCAGAACTGGAATTAGAATGTTTGTTTTGCACATTTCTTTGTACTTGAGAAGACATTAAAAATGAAATGACTAATTCTTAACATACTCACCAAAATGCCCCTGAGATGGATTTTTGTTGTTGTTGTTGTTTTTAGAGACAGGGTCTCATTCTGTTGCCCAGACTCAAGTGCAGTGGTGGGACCGTAATTCACTGTAACCTCCAACTCTTGAGCCCAAGCAAGCCTCCCACTCCAGCCTCCTGAGTAGCTGAAACTACAGCTGTGTGTCACCATGCCCAGCTAATTTTCTTATTTTTTGTAGAGATAGGGGTCTCACTATGTTGCCCAGGCTGGTCTCTGATTCCTGGCCTCAAGTGATCGCCTGCCTTGGCCTCCTAAAGTGCTGGGACTATAGGAGTGTGCTACTGTGCCCAGTTGGATTTTATTTTTTTAAAGCACCTCATTATCACGAGTAAAAAATTGATAACGATTCCTTAATATCATAAAAAATTCAGGCTGGGTGCGGTGGCTCACACCTGTAATCCCAGCACTTTGGGAGGCTGAGGCGGGTGGATCACTTGAGGTCAGGAGTTCGAGACCAGCCTGGCCAACATAGTGAAACCTACGTCTCTACTAAAAATACAAAAAAAATTAGCCAGGCGTGGTGGCGTGTGCCTGTAGTCCCAGCTACTCCGGAGGCTGAGGCAGGAGAATTGCTTGAACCCAGGAGGCAGAGGTTGCGGTATGTCGAGATTGCGCCACTGCACTCCACCTTTCAAGACAGAGCGAGATTCCATCTCAAAAAAAAAAAATTCAGTTAGTGTTCATGTTTTCATAATTTAAAAAAATTATTTTTATTGAATCAGGATCAAAATAAAGTCCATAAAATGCAAATTGTTGGTTTGTCCAAGTTTCTTTTATACGTGTCACACTTCTTCCATCTTTTCTATTTTGTTGCAAGTTTTTTTTTGTTGAAAAACAAAGGGGGTTGGTTTTCATATGGAGTTTGCTGATTGCAGTCCTAGTCATCTATCACGCATTTCTATGTACTGTGTTTCTTGTGTAGGGGCTGTTATATGTAGAGGCTTGACAAGGTTGCTTAGCTGTTTTATGTTAGTACCTTCCATTAGGAAGCATGTAACACCTAGTCATCTCTTTTTCAGAAGTTAAAAGCTATTGATGATAGTTGCCTAGATTGATTAATTATTTAGGGCTTATAAAATGGTGATCTTCTAACACTCATTTCTTCCTTACTAGCGTAATAATCCTATAATAGAAAAACTTCCCCTCGTCACTACTTCATCTTATTGAGGTTCTTAAGGGAAGGTAAAAATAAATTCTTGACACTTTGACAGTTTTTAAAATAATAACAGTGGCCATGCATCCTTCAAAACAGAACAATTTGCTTTTAAAAATATTTATTTCCCAGGCCGGGCGCGGTGGCTCACGCCTGTAATCCCAGCACTTTGGGAGGCCAAGGTGGGTGGATCATGAGGTCAGGAGATCAAGACCATCCTGGCTAACACGGTGAAACCCAGTCTCTACTAAAAAATACAAAAAAAAATAAGCCAGGCGTGATGGCGGGCGCCTGTAGTCCCAGCTACTCGGGAGGCTGAGGCAGGAGAATGGTGTGAACCCAGGAGGCGGAGCTGGCAGTGAGCTGAGTTCCCGCCACTGTACTCCAGCCTGGGCGACAGAGCGAGACTCCGCCTCAAAAAAAAAAAAATATATATATATATATATATTTATTTATTTATTTCCCTCACAGAGATTGTAGGCATTTGTTGTTATGTTTATACCTATGCCTTTAACATAGGTATAAACTATGGCTTTCTTAAATGAGGTCCTCTTTCATCTATCTTCTAGCTGATCTTTGTTTGTGTGTGTGTATATACACACATATGTATACATGTGTGTTTCTAATTTTTATAGGTTAATTTTATAACCTGCTTCATGATTATTTTTGTATGATTTTTAGGGGTTTCAGATATATAATACTATCTCTAAATACATATAGTTTTGACTATTTATTTCCAGTTCTCATGCTTTTATTTACTTTCTCATCTAATTGCGTTGGTTAATAACCTCAATATAACGTTAAATAATAGTGGGGATGATCTGCATCCTTATTATGTTTCTGACTTTGAAAGAGGAGCCCGTAGTATTTTCTCATTAAGTTTAGAGAACAAATGAGAAAAAATATATTTATAGAGTCTTTCATATTAACCCACATTTTTACATCTCCAGTGCTGGTCATTTCTTTAAGTGAGCTTAATCAAAATGGGAACTTTACCCAAGTGGTAAATTTGGTCATATCTTTTCAGCCTAAAGAACTTCATTTTGTATTTCTTATAAGGCAGGTCTGCTAGCAATAAATTCTCTCATTCATTGTTTATCTGAGAATGGCTTTTTTAAACCTTCAATCTGAAGGATTATTTTGCTGGATATAAAATTCTTGATCCTTTTTTCTTTTTCTTTTTTCAAATTTTTGTGGGTACATAGTAGGTGTATGTATTTATGGGGTACATAAAATGTTTTGCTACAGGCATGCAATGTGTAATAATGACATCATAGAGAATGGGGTATCCATCCCTTCAAGCATTTATTGTTTGTGTTACCAACAGTCCAATTATATTCTTAGTTATTTTAATATTAATATTTACAATTAAGTTATTATTGACTATAGTTATCATGTCGTGCTATCAAATAATAGGTCTTATTCTTTCTAATTAATTTTGTTATACCCATTAACTATCCCCCTCCCTCAGTACATTTCCCAACCTCTGGAAACCATCCTTCTATTCTCTATGTCCATGAGTTTGATTGTTTTGATTTTTAGATCCCACAAATAAGTGAGAATATGCAATGTTTGTCTTTCTGTGCTTGGCTTATTTCACTTAACATAGTGTTTTCCAGTTTCATCCATGTTGTTGCAAATGACTTGATCTCATTCTTTTTTATGGCTGAATGGTATTCCATTGTGTATATGTACCACATTTTCTTTATCCATTCATCCATTGATAGACACTTAGGTTGCTTCCAGATCTTAGGTATCATGAACAGTGCTGTGACAAAAATGAGAGTGCAGATATCTCTTCAATATACTAAGTTCGTTCTTTTGGGTATATACCCAGTGGTGGGATTGTTGGTCATATGGTAGCTCAATTTTTAGTTTTTTTGAGAAACCTCCCGATCGTTCTCCATAGGGGTCATACTAACTTACATTCCCACCAACAGTGCACCAGTGTTCCCTTTTCTCCATATCCTTGCCAGTACTTTTTATTGCCTGTCTTTTGGCTATAACCCGTTTTAACAGGGGTGAGGTTATATTTCATTGTAGTTTTGATTTGCATTTCTCTGATGATCAGTGACATTGAGCACCTTTTCATATTCCTGTTTGCCATTTGTATGTCTTATTTTGAGACATGTCTATTCAGATCTTTTGCCCATTTTTGGATCAAATTATTAGATTTTTTCCTCTAGAGTTGTTTGAGCTCCTTGTATATTCTGGTTATTAATTCCTGGTGAGATGAGTAGCTCGCAAATATTTTCTCCCATTCTGTGGGTTGTCACTTCACTTTGTTGTTTCTTTTGCTGTGCAGCTTTGTAACTTGATGTGATCCCACTTGTCCACTTTTAGTTTGATTGCCTACGCCTGTGGAGTATTACTCAGGAAATTTTCGACCAGACCAATGTCCTCAAGATTTTCCCCAACGTTTTCTTGTAGTATTTCATAGTCTGAAATCTTAGATTTAAGTCTTTAATCCATTTTGATTTGATTTGATTTTTGTATATGATGAGAGATGGGTTCTGGTTTCATTCTTCTGCATGGGGATGTTCAGTTTTCCCAGCACCATTTATTGAAGAGACTGTCTTTTCCCCAGTGTATGTTCTTGGGACCTGTGTCTAAAATGAGTTCACTTTAGGTGTGTGTATTTGTTGCTGGGTTCTTTATTGTGTTCCATTGGTCTCTGTGTCTGTTTTTATGCCAGTACTTCCTGTTTTGGTGACTGTAGCTCTGTAATACAGTTTGAAGTCAGGTAACGTGATTCCTCTAGTTTGGTTCTTTTGCTCAGGATAGTTTTGACTGTTCTGGATCTTTTGTGATTCCATATAAATTTTAGGGTAGTTTTTTCTATTTCTGTGAAGAATATCATTGATATTGTCATAGGGATTGCAATGAATCAGTAGATTACTTTGGAAAGTATGGACATTTTAACAATATTTATTTTTCCAATCCATGAATATGGAATGCTTTCCATTTTCTTGGTGTCTTCTTCAGTTTCTTTCATCAGTGTTTTGTCATTTTCATTGTAGAAATCTTTCATTTCTTTGGTTAATTCCTAGGCATTTAATTTTATTTGTGGCTATTGTAAATGGGATTACATTTTTATTTCTTTTTCAGATTGTTCACTGTTGGCATATAGAAATGCTACCGATTTTTGTATGTTGATGTTGTATTCTGCAACTTTATTGGATTTTCTTATCAGTTCTAATAGTTTGTGTGTGTGTGTGTGTGTGTGTGTGTGTGTGTGTGTGTGTGTAGGTGAAACATAAATTGTGTCATCTGTAAACAAGGATAATTTGACTTCTTCCATTCCAATTTGGATGCCCTTTATTTCTATCTCTTGTCTGATTGCTGTAGCTAGGATGTCCAGTACTATGTTTAATAACAGTGGTGACAATGGGCATCCTTGTCATGTTCCAGATCTGAGAGAAAGGGCTTTCAGTTTGTTCTCATTCATTATGATACTAGCTCTGAGTCTAATATATATAGCTTTTATTATGTTGAGATATGTTCCTTCTATACCCCATTTTTTAGGGTTTTTATCATGAAAGGATGTTGAATTTCATCAAATGCTTTTTCAGTATCAATTGAAATGATCATATGATTTTTGTTGTTTATTTGGTTGATGTGATGTATTACATCGACTGATTTGCATATGTTGAACCAACCTTGCATCCTAGCTAGGGCATAAATCCCACTTAGTCATTATGAATGATCTTTTTAATGGATTGTTGAATTCAATTGCTAGTATTTTGTTGAGGATTTTTGCATCACTGTTCATCAGAGATATTGGCCTGCCCCTCCCCTCCCCTCCCCTCCCCTCCCCTCCCCTCCCCTTCCTTTCCTGATGTGTCTTTGGTTTGGGTATTAGGGCAATATTGGCCTCATGGAATGAGTTCGGAAGTACTCCCTCCTCCTCTATTTTTTGGAATAGTTTGAATAGAATTGGTATTAGTGCTTCTTAAATGTTTGGTAGAATTCAGCAGTGAAGCCACTGTGTCCTGGGCTTTTCTTTACAGGGAGGATTTTTATTATGGCTTTAATCTCATCACTCGTTATTGGACTGTTCAGTTTTTGGATTTCTTCCTGGTTTAATCATGGTAGGTTGTATGTGTCTAGGAATTTGTCCATTTCTTCTAGATTTTTCAAATTTATTGGCGTATGGTTACTCATAGTAGCCATTAATGATCTTTTGAATTTCTGCAGTATCAGTTGTAATGTCTCTTTTTTCATTTCTGATTTTATTTATTTGGATCTTTTTTCTTTTTTTCTTAGTCTGCTTAAAGGCTTGTCAATGTTCTTTAACTTTTCACAAAACCAACTTTTTGTTTCATTGATCTTTTGTATTGTTTTCTTCCTTCAAATTCATTTACTTCTGCTCTAATCTTTATTATTTCTTTGCTTCTACTCATTTTAGGTTTGGTTTGCTCTTGCTGCTCTAGTTCTTTAAGATGCATTGTTAGATTGTTAATTTGAAATCTCCTCTTTTTCGATGTAGGCACTTATAGCTATAAACTTTCCTCTTAGCACCACTTTTGTTGTTTCTCATAGGATTTGGTATGTTGTGTTTCCATTATCATTTGTTTCAAGACGTTTTTCTATTTCCTTGTTAATTTATTCATTGATCCATTGGTCATTCAGGAGCTATTGTTTAATTTCCATATATTTGCATAGTTTTCAAAAATTCCTCTTGTTATTGATTTCTAGTTTTATTTCATTGTGGTCAGAGAAGATGCTTGATGTTATTTCAATTTTTTAAAAAATATGTTGAGACTAGTTTTGTGACCTAACGTATGGTCTGTCCTTGAGAATCACCCATGTGCTGAAGAAAAGAATGTTTATTCTGCAGCTGTTGGATGAAATGTTCTGTAAATATATATTAGCTCCATTTGGTTGTATAGTGCAGATGAAGTTTAATGTTACTTTGTTGATTTTCTGTCTGGAAGATCTCTCTAATGCTGACAGTGGGGTGTTGAAGTCTCCAGCTGTTATTGTACTGTGGCTTATGTCTCTCTGTAGCTCTAACAATATTTGCTTTATGTATCTGGGTGCTCCAGTGTTGAGTGCATATATATTTAAAATTATTAAGTCCTCTTGCTGGATTGACACTTTTATCATTATATAGTGACCTTTGTCCCTTCTTACAGTCTTTGTCTTGAAATCTATTGTGTCTGATATAAGGATAGTGACTCCTGCTTTTATTTTTGGTTTCCATTGGCATGGAGTATCTTTTTCTGTCCCTTTATTTTTAGTCTATGTGTGTATTTATAGGTGAAGTGTGTTTCTTATAGGCAATAGATCAATGGTCTTATTTTTTTTTTATCTATTCTGCTAGTCTGTGTCTTTTGATTGGAGAGTTTAGTTCATTTCCATTCAATATTATTATTGATAAGTGAGGACTCGCTCCTGCCATTTTGTTATTTGTTTTCTGGTTGTTTTATGGTCATTTTCTTTCCTTTCTGTCTTCCTTTAGTGAAGGTGATTTTCTCTGGTGTTATGATTTAGTTTCTTGCTTTTATTTTTAGTGTATCCATTGTATGTTTTCTGTTTTGAGGTTATCATGAGATTTGCAAATACTATCTTATAATCCATTATTTTAAACTGACAGAAACTTAGCACTGTTTGTATAAACAAAAACCAAGCAAAAAGAACATTAATAAAAACTTTGTGCCTTAATTGTGTCCCCCAACTTTTAAACTTTTTGTTGTTTCTATTTATATCACATTGTGCTGTCTATGTCTTGAAGAGTTGTTGTAGTTATTGTATTTCATTAGTTTATTATTTAGTCTTCCTACTTAGGATGGGAGTAGTTTACACAACAGTTACAGTGTTATAGAATTCTGTGTTTTTCTGTGTAATTACTAGTGAGTTTTTTACCTTCAGGTGATTATTATTATTTACTAACATCTATTTCTTTCTGATTGAAGTAGTCCCTTTAGCATTTCTTATAGGACTGGTCTAGAATTAATAAAATCCCTCAGCTTTTGCTTGTCTAGGAAAATCTTTATTTCTCCTTCATGTTTGAAGGATATTTTCACAGGATATACTATTCTAGGGTAACAGTTTTCTTCCTTTAGCACTTTAAATATGTTATGCCACTCTCTCGTGGCCTGTAAGTTTTCCACTGAAAAGTCTGCTGTCAGACATGTTGGAGTTCCATTGTATATTTGTTCCTTTTCTCCTCCTGCTTTTAGGATCCTTTCTTTATCTTTGATCTTTGGTAGTTTGCTTATTAAATGCCTTGAGGTAGTCGTCTTTGGGTCAAATCTGCTTGGTGTTCTATAACCTTCTTGTACTTGGATATTGATGGCTTTCTTTAGGGTTGGGAAGTTCTCTGTTATTATCCTTTTGAATAAACTTTCTACCCCTATCTCTCTCCCCATCTCCTCTTTGAGGCCAATAACTCAGATTTGCTAGATTCAGTAGTCGTGCTTTATTTTTTTTTTTAATTCTTTTGTCTCCTCTGTGTATTTTCAAATAGACCCTGTCTTGCAAGCTTACTAATTTTTTCTTCCACTTGATCAGTTCTGCTATTAAGACTCTGATGAATTCTTCAGTATGCCAGTTGCATTTTTTAGCTCCAGAATTTTTTAAATTATTTTTAAATTATTTAATATTTTAAAATATTTTATTTTTAATTATTGGGTTCTTTTTAATAATTTTAATCTTTGTTAAATTTATCTGAGTTCTGAATTCCTTCTCTGTGTTATCTTAAATTTCACTGAGTTTCCTCAAAACAGCCATTTTGAATTCTATATCTGAAAAGTCACATATCTCTGTTTCTCCAGAATTGTTGCCTGGTGCCTTATTTAATTCATTCGGCGAGGTCATTTTTTTCCTGGAATATCTTGATACTTGTAGATATTCGTTTGTGTCTGGGCATTGAAGAGTTAAGTATTTATTGTAGTCATCACTGTCTGGGCTTGTTTGTACTCACTGTTCTTGGGAAGGCTTTCCAGATAGTACAAAGGACTTAGGTGTATGATCTATGCTGTATCTGCTTTAGGATACAGATCTGCTATATCTTCACCCCAAACCCTGTTAACACCGTAGTTCTTGCAGACTTATACAGATATCTGGTCCTGGACAAGATCCTGGAGAATTCTTTGGATTACCAGGCAGAGACTCTTGTTCTCTTCCCTTTCTCCTAAACAAATGGAGTCTCTCACTCTCTGTTCTGAGTCACCTGAAACTGACAGTGTACTGACACAAGCACCACTGTGGCCACCACCACTATGACCACACTGGGTTAGACCTGAAGCCAGCACAGCACTGGGTCTCACCCGAGGCCCACTGTAACCACTCCCCGGCTATGTTTGCTCAAGGCCTTGGGACTCTACAATTAGCAGGTGGTGAAGCCAGCCAGGCTTGTGTTCTACTCTTCAGGGTGACAAGTTACCCCAGTTCCCAGGCAGGTCCAGAGGTGCCATACAGGAGCCAGGAACTAGAGTCAAAACCTTAGAAGTCTACCTGGTGTTCTACCGTATTGCAGCTGAATTGGCACTCGAATCACAAGACGTAGTCCTTCTCACTCTTCCCTTCCCTTTACAAAGGCAGAGGAGCCTTACTCTGTGGCCAGCACCACCACAGGTCCATGGGGAGAGCTGCCACACTACTGCCAATGTTCCCTTAAGGCCCAAGGGCTCTTGAATCAACTTCTGGTGAATGCTGCCTACCCTAGGACTCACCCTTCAGGTCAGTGGGCTCCCCTAGGCCCAGGACAGGTCCAGAAATCCCATCCAAGGGCCAAGTCCTGGAATCTCAGGCCCCCCACCCCAAGAGTCTGCTTGGTGCTCTAACACACTGTGGCTAAGGTGATACCTGAAGCCAGCAAATCTCAGAGCCTCACCCAAGGACCTTGACATAGTACTTGGGTATCACTGCTGGTTGTTTAGGGTCCAAGAGCTCTTCAGTTAGCAGGTGACAAGTCCTGCCCGGACTGGGTCCTTCCCTTCAAGGCAGCAGGTTCCTTTCTGGCCCAGGGCATGTCTAGAAATGTTGTCTGAGAGCTAGGACCTGGAAACAGGACCTTGCAACTCTAACCACTGCCCCATCCTGCTGTGGCTGAGCTGGTATCCAAGATGCAATGCAGAGTCCTCCCCACTCTTTCCTCTCCATTCCTTAAGTGGAAGTAAGGGGTATCTTTTGGGTAATGAGCTGTGCAGCCTGGGGTTAGGGAAGGGGTAATACCAGCATTGTTCTGGCTGGTGTCTCAGTAGGTCATGTGCCCCACTGTCGAAGTCCAGTGTCTCTGGGTCCAGTACAGCACTAGGACTCATGTAAAAGTCGCCGTCCTTGTGGCCTAGACTGCCTTTCAAGTTTATTAGCACCCCAGAGCACTTTAGCCTGAGGTGGCAAGGCTTGTGGGGGAAGTCAGGTTCTAACTGCTAGGATCAGGGGTTCCCCTCTGGCTAGGGCTGGTTTAAATGCTTCCTCCATGGGCAGATGTCAGCTGAGTTTGGTCCTGTTTTCCTTTCTGCTTTAACAGGACAGCATTGAGTTCAATGCCTCAAAATTGCCATGCCCCCCTACTGTCAGCACCCAGAGATGCTCTCTGCACCACACTGCTGCTACTGGGGAGGTGGGAGAGGGGTGACATCAGAGATTCAAGACTGTTTTTTCTGCCTCTTCAGTGCCTATTTCAGTAATATGAAGTTAAAACCAGGTATAACGAGGGCTCACCTGAATTTTAGTTTGTATGAAGGTGCTTTTCTTGTGTAGATAGTTGTTAAATTGGTGTCCTTGTGGGGAGATGATTGGTGGAGGCTTCTATTCTGCCATCTTACTCTGCCTCCTCCAGTTTTTTTCTGTAGCTCTTTGAATATATCATTTCACTACCCTTCTGTCCCCCATTATTTAGATAAGAAATCAGCCATTAATTGTAGTGATGCTCCCAGGTAGGTGATGAGTCATTTTCTTTTGCTGCTTTCAAGATTTTATCTTCTGTTGTAGTTGTTGTTTTTTGTTTTTGTTGGTACAGATTCTCACTCTGTTGCCCAGGTTGGAAGTGCAGTGGCGCCATCTCAGCTCACTGCAACCTCCACCCTCTGGATTCAAGCGATTCTCCCATCTCAGCTTCCTGAGTAGCTTGGATTACAGGTGCCTGCCACCACGCCTGGCTAATTTTTATATATATATTTTTTTGTAGAGAAGTGGTTTCACCATGTTGGCCAGGCTGGTCTTGAACTCCTGACCTCAGGTGATCCACCCGCCTTGGCCTCCCAAAGAGCTGGAATCACAGGTGTGAGCCACCACGCTGGTCCTCAAGATTTTATCTTTGACTTTCAGCAGTTTGACTGTAATGTGTCTGGGTGTGAATCTTTTTGTATTTATCTTACTTGATGTTTGATATGCTTCTTGAACACGTATGTTCAGGCTTTTACATCAGATTTTGAAAGTTTTGGCCATTATTTCCTCTAGTATTTTTTCTAATCCTTTCTCTTTCTCCTTTCTCTGACTGCTAATATATATACATTGGTATACTTGCTCTTGTTACAAGTCTGTGAACACTTGTTCTTTTTCTTTTTTCTTTCTGTTCTTTAGAATGAATTATTTCTGTTAATCTATACTCATGTTCAGTGATTTTTTTCTTCTGCCCTCTCAAATATGCTGTTGAGTTCCTGTAGTGAACTTTTTGTTTCACTTATTGTCTCGATATTCTTAAACTCCAGAATTTTCATTTGGACATTTATATAATTTAGATTTCCTTATTAAAAATTGCTATTGATTTTTTATTGTCAAACTTTCCTTTAATTCTTTAAATATAATTTCTTTTAGTTCCTTAAACATAATATTTCCTTTAAAGTCTGTATTTGCTGAATCCAACATCTGGAAATACTGAGATGTATTTATTGACTGCTTTTTTTTTTTCTACCACTGTTGATAACACTTAGGAAAATTCTGTTTTAATCATAAGTAAGAAGATGTATAAATCCATATAAATTTACTGTTATGTTTATTTCTTCTTTGTACACATTATTTTTTAAAAGCCTAGAGCTATACTGAGGGAAACTAATCTGTGATCTTTAAATTGACTGCCATACCATAGTTGCATTAGAAAACAAGATCTAGTTTGTTTCTAGAATCTTATCTCCCTTTCACGGCTTTTCTTTCTTTTGCATATACACTTAAAAGGAAAACAATTTGATTGACTTAACTAAAGTAATAATTAATCTATGATGGATGTATAATGCCTCCAGGGAATAATTTCCTAAGGATTAGGCCAGTTTCATCTTTAATTTACATTTTTATAGAAAAAGAAAATCCTTGACGCAATGGAAGGCATTTTCGTGGGTGGAAATGTCCATTCTGTCATCTCTAGGGCTTAAAAAATGATAAGAATTCTTTGTAAGGGAATATCTATGCTGTAGCTATGTGAAATTGTGACTATTCGGAACTTATCTATTCTATGTGACACCAGATTTTATATGAAATTTCTAGAACTAGACCAACTCCTCAACACTCTCTGGACCAGAAGTACTTGTATCAAAAATGAGAAAATCCATCAATTTCAAAGGAAACAAAACAACATAATAACCCATGATCAGGACTATTCTAATTTCTCTTCATCCATGGAAAAAGAGTCTGAGGATGGTCCAGTTTCCTGGGATCAGGTATTGCCATTGTTTCTCTTATTCAAGCATTTGCTACTGTCAAAGGAAGCCCAGCTGTGAAAGTTTTATTAGAGTTGTAGAAAACTTAAAGAGTATTGTGTATTATCTTGAAAAGTAAAAATATTCTAGTTCCACCACGTAGTTACGGTTTTCTTTTTCTACAAGTGTATCTCTGTAGACATAAAAACAAAGCCAAGGTATATAGGGGAATGAAATATATTGCTTTTTCCTCCCTTGGGTTCAGATTGAGTGAATTAATAATTCAGAAAACATATTGAGCATTTTATGCACACCGCTAATCATCCTGGGCATGAGAGATACAATGTTGAACAAAAATAGGCACATATTTTTGCTATTATGTATCTTAAAAGTTATTTTCTGTTACCTCTGCCATGTATAATAGGAATCTGTTGAAGTTGACTCTTTCAGACTCATGTTTATTGTATTCAACTGCAGGTGACAAGAGTTGATCTCCATATTAATCCATGTTTGTGAAGTTTCCTTAATTAGGGCCAACTCTCAGGAAGAGAACAAATACGGTCTCTTCATGGAGACCTTATTTGAATAAAGAATAATTCATTTCTTAACATTTAGGGGTTACTTAAGGCATGCATCTTCTAAGAATGCCAATAATCATTTTCTGTGCAAAACACACACAACAACCTCTTCTCCAATAATTCTTCTCTGTTCCAACGTGTGACTTTCTTTGTGATTCTTGATGGTATCCTAACGTGGGACACCAGATTTGAGGACTCTGCCTATATTATTAGGTTGATCATTTTCCAAGGGTTGTGCCTGGGCCTTTCCAAGGGCTGTGGGCAGCAGCAGTACCACCTGGGAACTTGTTGGAAATGTACATCCTCAGACCCCAACCCAGAATCTACTGAATCATAAACCCCAAGTGTAGAGCCCAGAACTCTGTCTTTTAAGAAGCCCTGCAAGTAATTCTCAAAACTAAAGATTAGAAACCACTGCTTTTGAATATGTTTGTAAAGCTTCTGTAGAAATCTGATAACATCAACACAAGTACAAACATATTTCAAAATTACATAGGAAGGAATAAAGATGTTTTAAAGATTGTTGGCTGCATAACCTAAATTTTCATTTTCTTTATAAAAAATATGTTGTGTTCAAAATTTTATAGAATATAATGAGTCCCCAGTAAGGACATTTATGTTAGTGATTTCAGAAGAAATTTACTTAATGACCTAAATGGCACAAGAGCAGCAAGCGAAGACCAAGGGCGCAGAAGTTTGTAATAGAATAACCTTACTCTCTGAGAAGGTATTGTAAAACTAGAAACTATTCGACTTCTTGACAACAAACTGGAGAAAGATGCATGGTATTCTCTTCTTGTTTCTCTCTCCATTCCTTTATTTACCAGTCAGGCATTTTCTGATAGGAATTGTATTATGAAACTATCATCAAAAGTTTGTTGCCAGTGTCTCTTTATTTTTGTCAATATTGTTGATGATGAAATAATTACATTCTGTCAATAACAAGTGGTGCAAAAGAGAATCTTGTCTTTGGCATACATTATTTTGATAAAGGGAAAAAAAAACACAAGTTTAGCTTTCTGTGGATGCTTTCTGTAGCAGAAAATTTCTGGAGTTCTTGCCCAATCCCTTACTGAGAAATGCCTTCCTCACCCACAGGAGTGAGGTTGGCACCCATGTTTGAACAGCTTTATTCCATCTCCTACTACTTGGGCAAAACTGATTGAACTAAATGGATGCCTGACCCAAGAGGCACCATCTGTGGCTTTGCTGAATCAATCAGATCTCTCTCAGGACTTATAGATGCAGCATTCTTGGGTTCTTGGAGTGAAAAGTCACTTTAGAGTTGGGGCTTATATGGCTGTGAGTTTACGAGAGAAGGCCAAACTGTGAAAGGAAGTAGATATATGCAGAGGGAAAAAGAAAAAAGAAAATACTTGGCTCAGGGAGGGAGAGGAGGGCACGGGTGGGAAGAAGGTTGTGGGCAAAGATCATGCATCTTTGATTTCCCAGCTTCAAGTTCTCATTCCTTATGAAGTGTGGGCATTCATTCAATCCCTGGGTTCTTTGAGACCATCTGTGCCTTTCTAATACAATTTCCTCTTGGTTTTCTGATTTCAGTTGGTTCTGTTCCATGCACCCAAATATTTCCTGATCAAGATAAAACTTTGTATCCATGAAATCATCTCTAAAGATTTTTATGTGGGGGAAAAAGACAAACAGCAACTATGTCATCATTATTTACAGATTAACAAAGTGCCTTCATTAAAAAAAATCTCTATACAGTGTGGCAAACCAAATCAGCTTTGCAAACCACTGATTTTTAAAACAATACCTTACTGATCGCAACTAAAGATCACAAAGACATTGCATTGGGGTCTTATTTCAATAGAAAACATCCATTTGTGAGAGTGAAACTACCCGTCATTCTCACTCACCTACTAAAACTTTTAAATTGTAATTTTTGAAGTACACAACGTCAACCTTTATTCTGAGATGGACAAATGTCTTTTGGCCCTTTTTAGAGACTGTGGCATTTGTTCTTTCCTTATTCTTCTCTCTCATAAATATGCCTATACAGTATGAAAACAAATTGTAAAGATTTAGGTAAAAATCAGTAAAGTCAGTAAGAAATAATGATGTTTTCAACTGTGTGTGTGTCTCTGTGGAGAAGGGTTATGCCAATTGAGAGAGGTAGCTACATCATTTGGTATTTACACAGCAGCTAGTTGACATAGCTTTACTTTCAAAAATTTTACCTTTACTTTTAGGACTTTTAAAAGTACACGTTGCCTACACAGGCTGACTAAATCAAACAGTATGAAAGACAGTGACCTCATTACCATAGGACTTCTGTTTATTGTATGAAGTCTTTTTTAACACAAAGCTATCCTCATTGAAAAAGAACAAAAACATCAGGACATCCTAAGGCTGCTGGTTAGAACACCACTCAACACATTGTAAAACACAATGTGTCTTTCTAGGAAAGAAAAACTGTGCAAAACTCATACTAAATAAGGCTCAGAATGAAAATGAGGTATTGCAGGCTTTGGTCAGAGATTTAAGACATCCTTAGGAATTACGTACAGCTGAAAGTTTGCAGGGAAACACGTGTCGTACCGGCTTCATGTGTGTGTTCTCGCTATTCCATCTAGAATTCACTCCTCAAGGATGACAACTGGTGGAGAATCTAGTTTAAATATGCTGAGATTAGTAACAATGTTATGTTTTCCTCACACAGACCTGCTTCTCTGCTAGGCAGCTGGTGGAGATATTTCTACAGAAGGGCCTCTCACTCATTTCTAAGGAGGACTTTAAGCAAATGAGTCCAGGGATCATCCAGCAGCTCCTCAGCTGCTCCTGCCACTTACCCAAGGACCAACAAGCAAAGCTGCCACCTACCACTCTGGAGAGTAAGTTCTGGATCTTCCTTCAGAAAGCTGATGTGCACAATGTATGCAATAATAATAGTAAATGCAGGATACTTACTATATACCAGGCTCTGTTGTAAACATTTTACATTTATCAGCTCATTTAATCCTCCTAACAATGCTACAAGGTAGATATTATTATTCCCATTTTACAGATGAGGAAACTGAGGCACAGAGAGATTAAGTGACTTTCCCAAGGACACACAGCTGGGAAGTGATGGAGTTGCCATTCAAACCCAGGCAAGCTGGCCCTGGAGTCCTTGTTTCTAACCACGATACATACTACTCTTCAATGAATATTTTATATTTGTATATGGTTTATATGAATTAATTATGTCTTCTATAGTTGACTCAATCATGGATCAACATAAAAGGCCATAGCTGAGAGGTGACATGGTAAAAGAGAAGGCAATAGCATTGGAATGTGGAATGCAGAGCTGAGTCATGCTTTTTTTCCTCAGAGACTTTGTGATCTTTAGCAATTTCTCCCCAAGACTGTTTCTTTTCCAGCCCAGTGGAAAGCAGTGATATCCTATAGGGCTGCCTTTCTCACATCATGGCATGTATAAAAAATGAAAACACATTACAGTAAACCAAAGCTCACTGGGCTGCTGTGGGATGAAGGTGACCCATGCTGGGAGCTACCAGCCTCCCAGATGTAGCTGTCAGCCCCAGGAAGGGAAGGGATCAATATTTACAGTTACCTGTATCCCACTGAGTCATTGCAATAGATGAGATCTCTCCAAGGGCTTCACTGTGAAGCCCTTGAACTGTAAGGTTCAAATGGGATAATGTGGACAAAAATATCTTCAGTAAATTTAAAGCTCTGTATATTTAAAAGACAAAACAAATGGTTGAGAACATCCATGTTATCTAGTAAAAAATATGACAATTAGCTTACCATTGATCTGAGAGCCTTAGATGTATTATTTTCTCAGAGCTGTGTTTCTTTCTCTTTGAGAGAGCCTGCAATAGCAATCATAGCTGAGTTGTTCAGCCACCCACCTCTAACTCACAGTGGATTCTGTAACATCAAGTGGCCTAATTGAAAATGTTATGTGAACAAAAACACGCCAGGCCTAAATATCTAAGATTCTACATTCACTAAGAGAAAAAGAGCTTCATTAATAGTGAGCAGCCAAATAACTCAGCACTTGGTGGTCATTCAGTGAGGCTCAGAAAATGGATGAAGACAGCACTGTGGCACCTAGGAGCATCCCTGGGCAGTTTACATTCCTACCACCTGGCTTGGGGCCGGAATGTACAGGCCGCTCGGAAAAGGGTTTTGAAATTAAGGCCTCGGAAAAAAATTGTGTCTCCTCTCGAATGAACTTCTAGACACTTCTGGGGAATAGTCTTCCTGGGAAACCTCCCAACATGTCACACTCACTAAAGAATCTAGAAAGGGGCCAGGCGCGGTGGCTCACGTCTGTAATCCCAGCACTTCGGGAGGCCGAGGCGGGTGGATCACGAGGTCAGGAGATCAAGACCATCCTGGCTAACGCAGTGAAACCCCGTCTCTACTAAAAATTAAAAATTAAAAAAAAAAATAGCCGGGCATGCTGGTGGGCGGCTGTAGTCCCAGCTACTTGGGAGACGGAGCTTGCAGTGAGCCGAGGTCAGCACCACTGCACTCCAGCCTGGGCGACAAAGCGAGACTCCATCTCAAAAAAAAAAAAAAAAAAAAAAAAAAAAAGACTCTAGAAAGGCCAGGTGCAGTGTCTCACACCTGTAGTCCTAGTACTTTGGGAGGGCAAGGCAGGAGGATTACTTGAGCCCGAGAGTTTGAGACTAGCCTGAGCAACATAGGGAGACCCCATCTCTACAAAAACGAAAATTAGCCAGGCATGGTGGCACGTACCTGTGGTCTCAGATACTTGGGGGGCTGAGGTGGGAGGATCATTGGAGCCCAGCAGTTCAAGGCTGTAGTGAGCTATGACAATGCCATTGCACTCCAGTTGGGTGACAGAGAGAGACCCTGTCTTAAAAACAAGAACCTAGGCCGGGCACAGTGGCTTATGCCTGTAATCCCAGCACTTTGGGAGGCCAAGGTGGGCAGCTCACGAGGTCAGGAGTTCGAGACCAGCCTGGCCAACATGGTAAAACCCCGTCTCTACTAAAAATACAAAAATTAGCTGAGTATGCTGGCGGGTGCCTATAATCCCAGCTACTCGGGAGGCTGAGGCAGGAGAATCATTTGAACCCGGGAGGTGGAGGTTGCAGTGAGCCAAGATTGCACCATTGCACTCCAGCCTGGGCGACAGGGAGAGACTCCATCTCAAAAAACAAAACAAAACAAAACCTAGAAAAACATCACTGTCCTCAATCGAAAATGTTGCATTATGTGAATAGGGAAAAGCTTTAATTTCAAAAGTTCTTTGGAAATTATAGAAATATATGATATTATATTGAAGGGAGGAAGACTCGGGGAGACATTATTAAGAAAATACCATTCAGTATGCTGAAACTCAACCGCTAAGCACCATCTTCGATTAAGTTTCCAGGAAAGAGTATTATGGCCATGTACAAATTAAGTTTCAGACCTATTCAGAGTAGCTGCTCAGAAGTGGCTAAGAATTTAGTGGCTAGGTCAAGCTCTGTTGTAATAATGGGAAACTTTAGAACCTGTCTGCAAGTTGCCTGATGCCAATCAAGACTTCATGGCACTTATGCAGGGACCTGCAGTAAATTAGCAGAGTCCTGTGACCACAGGTCAGATATTTTATGGTTTTGAGGCTGTCGTTCCTACATGAAAGCAAGTGAAATATGACTCATAGAGAATCTAAAAAGATTTGCTAACCTCTGAAGTTATGAAACATTCATTGTCTGCATGGGTAGAAGCCCACAGAGTTGGGGTGTAGCAAAATAACTAAAGAAGTTTCAACTTTGCCTTTTGCCTGGGAAATGTTGTACCCTGATTTGTCATTGTGCTTTCTTGGCCTTTTGTGGTCTTTTGCAGTTACCACTTCTAAAATGGGACAGCTGTAAATTTTATTAAACATCCAGGTGCTCATGTTACTATTCAAATATCTTTAATTTATGTAATAAATGAAAAGAATGGCATTCCCATATAGAGTCTGTGTGGGAAAGAATGGGATATGAAACTTAGTTGAAGATTTTCAGGGAAGTTTCTATAACATGAGTATTTTTGTTACATTAGAATGATAAAAGACACGACGATGTAGGTGTCTGAACAATACACATGAAATACAGTTCGCCATCTTAACCATTTGTATTTGCACAATTCAGTATATTCACATTGTTGTGCAATAGATAATAGAACTTTTTCATCTTGCAAAACTAAAACTCTATACCCATAGAAGAACAACTCTTCATTTCACCTTGCTTGTAAACCATTTTATAGGGATTCCATAGCAATGAAAATGTGGTAGTGGGGGTACGGGAACAGATGCTTAAAAGTTTTTTGCCTCTTCTGAGTATACTGCCAACTCTATTTTAATATTAAACCCCTGGGTAATTTAGAACTTACGTTTCAGTAAAGTCCTCTTAATATCACAAGCCTATTTTTCTGTTACCAGTTATATTATTAAAATGATCTAGTCTGGGCATGGTGGCTCATGCCTGTAATTTCAGCTCTTTGGGAGGCCAAGGTGGTGGATCATTTGAGGTCAGGAGTTCGAGACCAGCCTGGCCAACATGATGGAACCCCGTCTCTACTAAAAATACAAAAATTAGCCAGACATGGTGGTGGGCACCTGTAGTCCCAGCTACGCAGGAGGCTGAAGCAGGAGAATCACTTGAGCCCGGGAGGTGGAGGTTGCAGCAAGCTGAGATTGTGCCACAGCACTCCAGCCTGGGTGAAAGAGCAAGACTGTCTCAAAAATAAAAATAAAATAAAATGATCTAATTTAAAGAATGAACCTTTTAGAAAAATGCAAGTATGATGAGAATGAAATATTTTCTGTTTTAAGAAACTTTAAGAGGATAGTTTTTTTTTTTCAAAAAAATTGCAATGAGCTTTAGGTATTTTGACACCAGGATTGTTTGATTTAACTTATTGTATATCCATAGTCACTGAAGAAAGTGGTAGTTTAATTTCATAATTAGCTTTCCTCATTGTTTACTAACTAGTTTGCCATCACTTGTTAGTAATTTCTAAATAGGTAGAGAAATAAGCATTTGCTTTGAGTATCTACAAGCAGATGAAAATGATGCCATAGATAACTCCTTATCTCTATGTTGTCTGTACTTGATTCTGAAAGTCATTTCCTCCCTCTCTTTTAATCTTATCTCTTCCCTTTTCTCCTTTATTTCTTCTCCCTTCATATATATATATTTTTTCTTTCAAATAAACTTACAAATTATACTTTATAAATATTTTTTTAAAAGGAAGCCTAGAAACATGAAATTCTAAGGATTATAAAAGTCATTGCAATCATCCAAAATGTAGATTGTTCAGATTTTTATTATCGACTGTTACACATTCATTGATCAGTTTTCACCAATAACAACACTCATTTTAGTCACTGAAAATAATATCACCCTGGACATTGCAAATAATTCAGACAGCTTTTGGAAGGAAGTTCTTCCAAAACGTGTACTCATTTTGTACACAAACATAGGTCTACAATACTGCCAAACCTTATGCTTCCTATGTAACAGCTAGTCTTTTCGCCTTTGAGAAGCTTAAGATATGATTAAAGGGAAATTATTGCTAGTGTCTGTCTGTGGATGTTGTAGTTTCAAGTGAGAGAAATTTATTTCTTTGAGGGTTGGAGGTGAGCTCAGTCCTTGCTTGCTGCAATAATTTTTAGTAAGGGGTAGTCAGAGTAACTTCAAAACAACACGGTTATTTGAAGAAAGTCTTGTCTTAGTCCTTGCTGTAACAAAATACCACAAACGGATGGCTTATGTAAACAACAGACATCTATTTCTCACAGTTCTGGAGGTTGGGAAGTCCAAGATCAAGGCATCAGCAGATTCGGCATCTGGTGAGGGTCTCGTTCCTGGTTCATGGACTGGTGAAGGGAAGAACTCCAGTCCCTTTAGCCCCTGTAAAGACCCTAATCCCATTCAACAGGGGTGAAGAGTATATGTTCTAATCACCTCCCAAAGGCCTCACTTCCTAATACCACCCACCACCTTGGTGGTTAGGTTTCAACATGTGAATTTTGCGGAGACACAAACATTTAGACCATAGCAAATCTGTTCATTCTTTTTGTTAAAAATTTAAAAACTTTTTGCCGCATATAACACTTATAAGACTGGGTGCTGTGGCTTATGCCTGTAATCCCATCACTTTGGGAGGTGAAGCAGGAGGATTGCTTGAGCCCAGGAGCTTGAGACTAGCCCAGGTAATACAGTGAGACCCTATCTCTACTAAAAATAAAAGCTTAGCCAGGCCTGATGGCACCTGCCCGTAGTCCCAGCTGCTCGAGGGTCTGATGTGGGAAGATCACTTGAGCCTGGGAGTTCAGGATTATAGTGAGCTATAATCACACCACTCCACCCCAGCTTGAGCAGCAGAGTGAGAACCTGTCTCAAAAACAACAAAAACAACAAAACGCTTATTTAAAAATTCCAAGTTGGGGGCAGTGGGCTTACAACTGTAATCCCAGCCATTTGGGAGGCTGAGACGAGTGGATTGCTTGAGTCCAGGAGTTCGAGACCAGCCTGGGGAACATGACGAAACCCCATCTCTACAAACAAAAAATACCAGAAAATGAGTCAGGCATGATGGTGTGCACCTGTTGTCCCAGGTACTTGGGAGGCTGAGGTGGGAGGATCACTTGAGCCTAGGAGGTGGAGGCTACAGAGAGCTATGATAGTGCCACTACATTCCAGGCTGGGTGACAGACAGAGAGCCTGTCTCAAAATAAAAACAAAACACTTATTTAAAAAATCCATATCCCTACTGGCTGTTACTGTAAGACCAATTCTTCTGGCATTTTCGCCAGCTGAGGCCGGAATGGAGGGCACTGGGCACTGACTGTGTTTACGATCTCCTTTGACTTAGAATACGGCTACAGCACGGTGGCTGTCACCCTTCTCACACTGGGCTCCATGCTGGGGACAGCGCTGGTCCTTTTCCATAGCTGTGAGGAGAACTACAGGCTTATCTTACAGCTGTTTGTGGGCTTGGCCGTCGGGACACTGTCTGGGGACGCTCTGCTCCACCTTATCCCTCAGGTAATCTGGTCTTTTCCATTTCAGATAAAGTTCACTTCATTGCTCTTCACTTTTAACCACTGGAGGTATTTATGCAAAATTTTACTGAGACTTCAAAGAGAGAGTATCGTGGCTGGTGTTTTCCTTAAAAAGAAATATTATTTCCCCAAGGCCTCTCTGCACTTGTAGAAGAGAAGAGATGCCCCAACATTAGGCTCGCCACATAGTAGTAGTATTTTTGAAATAAAACAAAGGAAAGGTGGCAGGGCACGGTGGCTCACACCTGTAATCCCAGTACCATGGAAGGCTGAGGCGGGAAGATCGCTGGAGCCCAGGAGCTCAAGAACAGCCTGGCCGATGTGGTGGAACCCCATCTCTACTAAAAATACAAAAATTAGCTGCACATGTTACATGCACCGGTAGTCCCAGCACTTTGGGAGGCCAAGGCAGGTGGATTACTTGAGATCAGGAGTTCGAGACCAGCCTGGACAGCATGGTGAAACCCCATCTCTACTAAAAATATAAAAATTAGCTGGGCATAGTGCCATGCGTCTGTAATCCTAGCTACTCGGGAGGCTGAGACAGGAGAATCGCTTGAACTCGAGAGGCGAAGGTTGCAGTGAGCAAAGATCGTACCACTGCACTCCAGCATGGGTGACAGAGCGAGACTCTGTCTCAGAAAAAGTTGTCATTCAGTTAGTTCACCCAAGACCTGGTTGTTTAAAAGTCCAGAACCTCCCCGTCTCCCTCTCTCTTGCTTTCTCTCTCTCATTATGTGATGTGCCTGCTTCCCCTTCACTGTCTACTGTGATTGGAAGCTTCCTGAGGCCCATATCAGAAGCAAATGCTGACACCATGCTTCCTGTACACCCTGCAGAACCAGGAGCCCATTAAACCTCTTTTCTTTATAGGTTATCCAGCCTCAGATATTTCTTTATAGCAACACAAAAATGGCCTAATTCACTTGTCCTTCTTTCTGTTCTGCCCAGAAGGCTGCATCTCCTCAGCTACCTTGCAGGTTGGATTTTTGTTTGGGGTCAGCCAATGAGGGGCACAATGGAAAACTCAGAGGAGGAGGAGAGAGAGGCAGTGGCATCTGTGCCCAGCTCCCTCCTGGCTCCGGCGTCCGCTCTAGAAGTGGCTGATTTGCCATGGGCTACGTCTCCAGTGGACAGCTTCCCCACAGCTCCACGGCTCACTGGCCTTCCTCCCTTTTCCCTTTCACCCCTAAGGTTGGCAATGCTTTCCTGCGATTGCCAGTCTCTGGGTGCCTCATTATCCTTTCTTTATACCCTTGACCCTGCCCACCTCTGTAATAGTCTTATCTTTCATGTCTCTTTATTTGAGCCATCACAGTGGAATTCTCCTTCTTGCCTAACAGTGTCTAGATTTCTCTTAAGGGCAGGTGAGCACCAGGAGGCTGCCTCCTGTTGACGTGTGCTGAGGCTCTTTTTCAGAAAGGAAAGGAGTAAAACCTGAGTTGAGGTCATCTACAGATGAGGTGTTCTCTTCCCTCTGAAATCTCTTACCAGGGATAATGATGGTGGACCAATGATCCCCACTCCAGCAAAGCCTGAGCTGGTTAAAATTTTCCACAAGCCTCTGGCAGTTTCCTGCAGGGTCACTCTTGTTGCTTCGAGGCTCAATTGTTATTCAATGTTCTGAAAATCACAAAGGGAGCATTGGAAAAATAAAACCATTATGAGTTTTAATTGCCCTCATAATCTAATATCCTGGAAATATTTCAGGGCTTATGACTGAGTAGAGGCGGCGGCCCAGGCCTTTTTTCTAGGTCACAGCAGCGGTAGCAGAATTGTTTACTGCCCAGGAGTCTGGGAAGCAGAAAAAGGCTCTCAGGTCAGCCTGAGTCTCCCCCAGTGAGGGAGCCCACAGCGAAGGTGGACTTGAGGATGGGTGCAACATGTTACAGAGGAGAACTTCAGAGATTAGCTGGGTTTCCCGAAATTTTGTAGACAGTTTTTTTTTTGCTTAAGGAAAGAGACAAGAGCCGGGTGCAGTGGTTCACGCCTGTAATCCCAGCACTTTGGGAGGGCAAGACAGGCGGATCACCTGAGGTCAGGAGTTTGAGACCAGCCTGGCCAACATGGTGAAACCCCGTCTCTACTAAAAATCAAAAACTAGCCGGGTGTGGTGGTGGGCGCCTGTAACCCCAGCTACTCTGGAGGCTGAGGCAGGAGAATCGCTTGAACCCAGGAGGCAGAGGTTGCAGTGAGCCGAGATCATGCCACTGCCCTGGGCAACAGAACGAGACTCTGTCTCACGAAAAAAAAAAGAGACGAGGACGAAAGTTGTTGGAAAGAGGAAGAAAGATGCAGGACAAGTGTGGTGGTGTGCTAGAAGAATCAGTGATCTGTGGCAAGTTTTCAAACGTCTGCACAGAAGTGAGAAAAATGTTACTCATGTGATTGCCTTTTTTAGTCAGCTAAATTTGTTCAACTGAAAGATCTACATTTTATTTTGAGATCTGGGGTTTTTCTTCTGTTTTGTTTTATGATATTACAAATGTTCCCTATTTTGTGCAATAATGGTCATTAGAAGTATTAGGTGGGTATCCTTAAATGCCCTTAGCAAGAGAAAAAGTTGACTAACATATATTGGTTTTTAGTGATATTTGCATACACAACATATATATGTAGATACATATGTATACTCACATATACACACGTACATATATGTATGTACACATAAATGCCTGTACACATATATGTATGAATGTATATACATATAATCTATACACATATAATTTCTTTTTCCTTTTTAAAATTTAATAGTAACATTCTAAATCTGGAAACCATTTATGAGCTACTTCATAAATTGCCTTCTCTAAGAGAAGGGATATGGTATAGAATGATCTACTGGCTCACAAGAAATCATGAGGTTGACCAATGGAATGACTCAACCAATGGGATGAGTCAGTTACAGAAAAATTCCCAACACATTTCTCATACCCTTTTGTGTCCCAGAGACCTGACAATATTGTCAGTCATACAGTATGCTCCCAAAGGAACAAGTTCTTCACGGTGGATTTCTTACTTATCTGATATTTAATAAAAGTTTACTTTGATTGCTATGGGGCATGAGAATAAACCCCAGATGAAATATAAAATTTATTAATATTTTATGAGGCATGGTTGTACAAACAGATGCAGATTGGACTCCTGAAAAACAATTTGGCCGAAGGACTGAGTTTGTGTGAAAATCTAGGGCACTTGCAGAAATAAAGCTTAGGCTTCATTCTGTTCATTAGCACAAGCTATTCAAAGCTCTCTTTTGTTTTTTATTGTACACAATTTATTTGACCCTGATTGAAGTGTATAGTGGAAGCATTCACATACCCAAAAGCAAACTGGACTTTTAGTGATTGTATTAATAGTTGTCACGGCATTTCCCAGAATGAAAATTAAATATATTCAACACTGGGCCTACTATTTAATAGTTAAGTCATCAAGACTTATCTCCATCTTTCTCTCTGCCTTTTTTTTTTTTTTTTCCCCTGAAGGTTCTTGGTTTACATAAGCAGGAAGCCCCAGAATTTGGGCATTTCCATGAAAGCAAAGGTCATATTTGGAAACTGATGGGATTAATTGGAGGCATCCATGGATTTTTCTTGATAGAAAAATGTTTTATTCTTCTTGTATCACCAAATGACAAGGTATATTTTTAAGTTTTATTTGTCTTGTGCTTTAAAGTCTTATAATACATTCATCTGTTCCTTCACAAGTACTTGTTCAAAAGTAATGAAGTTGCCTGTGTAAGGGATGTCTAATGGAATGCTGATTTCAAGAATACACAGCTCCTTCTAATAGGATATTAATTTTTTAAAATATCTATTCCTGGGCAGTTAATGTACTTATTAAGACCTTTTGTTCAACCTTCATGGTTGGTTTAGGAACTGGGGACTATTTTATGTCTGGGGAATGAAGGGGCCCAACATTCTAGCTACTAATCAGCGTTTTGGATATCTTTCTTAACCTAAACAAATAAGCAAACAAAAACTTTGAAAACTCACAAAATCACATGTAATTTTCTGTCTTAAAGGCATTTAAAATTACAAAAACAAGCGTCTTAGGAATTTTGAAATTTGCAGCAAATCTTTTTTTCAGCTTTAGTAATTTCTTTTATTATACCAGTAGCTGATAAATGTCTACAGATATGGGCCGGGCGCTGTGGCTCATGCCTGTAATTTCAGCACTTTGGGAGGCCGAGGCAGGCGGATCACCTGAGGTCAGGAGTTTGAGGCCAGCCTGGCCAACATAGCGAAACGCTGTCTGTACTGAAAATACAAAAATTAGCCAGGCATGATGCCGCGCGCCTGTAATCCCAGGTACTAGGGAGGCTGAGGCAGGAGAATTGCTTGAACCCAAGAGGTAGAGGTTGCAGTGAGCCGAGATCGCGCCACTACACTCCAGCCTGGGTGACAGAGCGAGACTCCATCTCAAAAAAAAAAAAAAAAAAAAACAAAAGAAAAAATAAATAGCATAGCACTTATTGTTTTTCATTCCTAAATTTGTTCAAAATTCTGTTTTATGAATCAAAAAATAAAATGAATTTATGGATGGATAGAGGGATGATAGATGGATAGCTACATGATAAAATAGATTTAATAAAATAATCATAGGATCAAGGAAGTGGATAGCTCAATATTTACATTACAATACAATTCTTTCAGCTTTCTATATATTTGAAATCTTTTCAGCAATAAATAGAGGTCATGAATTCAAATAGACTACAAGTCAACTTCTGTAAAAGTTTTCTAATAAAGCAGGACTTTTCTTTGGCCTGGGGCCCAAACTAGGATGCTATGGTAATTTGGAAATTAGGAATGCCAATTTCTATTACAGTACTTACCCTAAAAGTTTAGGAACTTTCCTTTCACAAAAGAAGTTCTAATCCCAAGAAGCATTAAAAAAATAACAAATCCCCACTTATACCCAATGGATTAACATTTCTGGGTTGGGAAAACTAAATTAGAAAGCCAAAATACCAGTAATTCAGTAGTTAGAAATCCAGTGTGGTAATGAGTGAAAGAAATTCTGAACATCCAAAAATGTAGAGTTTATTCAGATTGTTTATGGGCTTGTCAGGGAACTTAAAATGAGTTTTAAGAGCATAATTCCAAGATTTATGATATTGCCTAAAATAAAAGGAATACGTATGTTTTAGGAACTGCAAATGCTTTACTTGATGAATACATTTCCAGAGACATTGTTTTAGTAGTCACAGGGTACAATACAGTTTTGATTATTATCATTGCGGTATCTCCATCAGAAAGAATTTAAAATTTAATTTTGTGTAAATATAACTTTTTTTAGTAAATAAAAAGACAGTGTAAAAACTACCACTATTCAAGCCTTCTTCAGTCATCACTAGACATTTTTGAAGTTGCATTCCATTCTTAAAGCATCCCAGTTCTCTTTTGTGGCAACTACCATTTTGGCCAATAGGCAATGGAATGGAACCGTGGCATTGACAAAGACTACACCTGTGTTCTTCTGGCTTCAACACTAATTTTAAACCATCCTCATCCAGCAGGGCCTGTCATTGGTTAATGGGCACGTGGGTCATTCCCACCATCTTGCACTCAACTCTGAATTAAGTGACCAGGCAGGCAGAGGCAAATCTGCTTCAACTATCCAGTTGGTAGGTTCCTGATCTGAAGCATTCTACTGATCTGATTACCTTCTCTCCTTTATTCCTCAATGAACAAATGAAAATCAGTAGGGTAGATAAACAGATTTCATACTCCTGATTTGCCGGTTCTTAACTGTGATAAATACTGTTTAGAAAACTCTGCCAAGCACCTGAAAGCTGTTCTAAAGAGCAACAGGCACCCTCCACAGATTCACGTAATTGCTGTCTGCATCACTGTCAAACATGTATGGATCAGACTGACATCATAGACACGTCCTTAATCCTTGTGTTTACAAGTTTTCATAAACCAGTTGACCTTTGCCTTTGCATTCTGAGTAATCCTTAGCCATGACTAGGTGGATGAAAACAGATGTGGAGCAAGGGATTACTTAGTGCACCTAGGATTGGGGAGTTCATTTCATAATGCAGGAGATAACTGATTCTGTCCAATGAGAAGTTTCATAGTATGTGCCTTTATTCTACTAAATTTTCCACAACAAAATCTTCTATATTAATTCTCAAAGCACAATGTCCAATCATGTTCAAAACAATATTCCCATTCAAATGCTTTAAGTAAGAAGTATAGGAATGGGAAAAATATGAAAGTAATATATAATTGCTAGAATCCCTGCCTCCTGGAACCATGGCCTTAGGGTAAAGAGTTTACGGTGTAAGGACAGCTTCCTCAGTAGAAATGAGGAGGCTATTCCTGAGACATTGACATAGCAAAATAGAAGTTTGGGAGTAGATTTCAGATCTCGTGCTAACTCAGAGATAGGAACCAGAAATTTCCTTTAAAATACGATTTTAAGAGCCTTTATTGTATTTATTGCTTAGACATTCTAAATGTGGTTTGAAAAAAGATAACTTCAGGTGGGATTAGTTTTAAAAATCTCTTTAATACTGACCTTATTCCTTCTCTTTGAAGTGTCCAGAGCCCCAAGATGCATATAACCAAATCTCTGAAGGTACCTTAGTGAGTCTTGAGCTATTTGAACACTCCAGCTCACTAATATACGCATAATTCCTCTTGTTATTTAAGCTGCAATTTGACCTAAAGCATAATAGAAATTGTATAAACTTTTAGGAGTGTTTGATGAGTTTAATTTCTTGTTTTTTCAAGAAACTCGAGGATAAAGAAGAATGTACATTTTTTTCCCAATCAATAAGAAGTCCTGAATGTTTGGCTCTAAATTACTTTACATAATGTGACAATAAATAGCTTTTTTTGAAAAACAAGACAAAACATTCTAGAATAAATATCTGAATTCTGTATTTTCACAGAACTATAAAGCATTGTGATTACAATTAGGTTTTTGATATAACATAAAGGGATCACAATGTTTTTTGTTTCTATATCCTCCCAATTTCAAGTAAGAGGTCTACTTCCTGCTCTCTGTATCCTACAGGCTCTACCTTACTTCTCAGCTATCCTTCTCCAAAAACAGCCTATCATTATCTTTTGAATAGCTGCTATTATTCTAATACGTGAACTTTACTAATGTGTAAAATTTACTTTCTCTCTTTTACACACACACAAAATGCATTTATCTCATTACATTTGTGTCAAAATTTGTACAACTTTGGGAGATAGACTTCTATGCATATGCTTTTAAAAGGACATATTTAATATGCAGATAAAAAGTTTTTTTATAGAATTGAAATCAGAGGCGCCAAGACGGAAAATATATTTTCAGAAATTGGTCTGTGAGTCAGTCTCTGAAATAAAATCACGTAATCTTACCTCATAAAGTCAATTTCAAAATCTCACTTCTCTGTCATATAAAAGGATTAAAAAATGTTTGAATCTATTATTGTTGTCTTTTATAAGTGGGTGGATCTACTTTCTTAATGGGCAAGATTCTTTTACTGACTGGCAAAGCAGTTAACACAGAATATTATGCTGCAGTGAATGAAATGAGGTGTTGAATTTGCATGGGTGTCTTTTCCATCCAAAATACATCGACTGCTCACAGGTTAGAGGATGGATCTTAAGTCCACAATCCACCATACAGGAGAAGTGCTGAGTTAGGCCAAGAATAATTTTTTTCGATAGCTTTTGAATTTCATAAAGGCTTACATAATTTACGAGTCTGAATTACAGACTGTCTCAGCAGCCTTCAGCTCTCTATGGAAGATTCTGATCTACCTGAGAGTGCTATTTTCATCTAAATATGAAGAGTGCAAAAGGCTTGCTTTGCCCACAGACTTTCAGCTCTACATTGTGTGTGTCTATGAAACCTGAGGTTCTAATATACATCTAGAGTACTAAAATGTCTTTTAAAAACCCATGTAACTCTCCAGATGTTTCATTTTTCAACAAAATGATGGCCATTACTTATCTTTCATCAGTTATTTTTTAATTTAAAATAGAAAAGCCCAGAAGATTCACAGGCAGCTGAAATGCCTATAGGCAGTATGACAGCCTCCAACAGAAAATGTGAGTACCAAGCTAAACTTTACATGTGGAAAGTGCCATAGAAAAACAGTTATGTCTGTTTTAAAATAAAATGTCAAAACTATATAGATATCATATTGGGTATGTAGTTTATTATGAAAAACTTTGCAATAGGATTTGTAATAAAAACTAATTCCTATCCAGCTCTCAAATTGACTACATATTCATATCAATTTTACTCCTTCCTTTAAAAATGAAGTTTTTCTTAGTTGATTTAAACTAATTCCCTTCAGGGGAAACTTCAATTAATGTAAACACATGTGTGTTTATCATAGCTCATTTCTAAACATATTTGTGTGATGATTGAGGCTTTTATTTCACTGTGAAGTATGGATATATCATTGTTTTTTCATCTTCTAGCACTGTCTACTGAAAATTCATCACAAATGCGTCTTATTTATCATACTGTCATTGAGATGGTAGAATTCAAATCAGTGATCTCATTTATTCACATCTTATTCTATAACTCATTTGTTCATTTAATTTTTAATTAACAAAGCTTGATGTTTTTTCTATGATTTTTTTCTTCTGCATTTAATTTACCAATTTTGGATAGAACTTTATTAACCTGTGCTTATGTTTCTGAATAATTCTTGAAAGTTTTTCGGATTTTTTTGTCTGTTTTGGTTTTCATCTGTTACTCTTGAACTTTTGCCCTATTTTTCTCACTTATTTTACACTTTTGTGACACAAACTTAAGGTTTTAATGTTATGCATCATGATTAGTTATTCCCATTCTACCGTAATAACTTAGCAAATAGTGAAAATAGCTAACACGTATTGAACACTTCTTGTATGCTAGGCACAGGGCTACACAGTTGGTGTGATCTCATTCAATTCTACAACTTAAGTAAGAATAAATATTAACTGAATTATACAAATGAAGAAAATAGTTGTTAGCGAGGTTAAATCACTGCTCAAGATTATATAGCTAGTCAGCTCTAGCGCTGGGGAACTAAAGAAATGCTAATGCACCGGCGGGCGCGGTGGCTCACGCCTGTAATCCCAGCACTTTGGGAGGCCGAGGCGGGCAGATCACGAGGTCAGGAGATCGAGACCATCCTGGCTAATATGGTGAAACCCCGTCTCTACTAAAAAATACAAAAAATTAGCAGGGCGTAGTGGCGGGCTCCTGTAGTCCCAGCTACTCGGGAGACTGAGGCAGGAGAATGGCGTGAACCCGGGAGGCGGAGCTTGCAGGGAGGCGGAGCTTGCAGTGAGCCGAGATCGCGCCACTGCACTCCAGCACTCTAGTCTGTGCAACAGAGTGAGACTCCGTCTCAAAAAAAAAAAAAAAGAAAAAGAAAAAAGAAAAAGAAAGAAATGCTAATGCACCAACAATTTTTTTGTGACCATTCATTCATTCATGCATCAATGCATTCTTTCACATTGTTTTATTCATTCAAGAAATGTTTGAAGACATGTCCTGCTTCAGGCATGTTTTATGCAGTGAAGAATAAAATAAGCATGATCTTTATCAGTGCAGAATAAAATAAGCATGGTCTTTATTCTTAGCTTGGGATGTAGTCAGGGATAGAAATACTACTAAGACCAAACACCATTATAACAACTACTGTTCTAAATGTTTTAGATACATTAACTCATGTAATTTATTTATTCGATTCAAAATATGTAATTACATATTTTGTCCATTTCTGCTTTTAGAACATTGCTAGTAATATTTTTCCTTCTAAACTTTTAGTTCCAAGAGTAATTTTAGAAAGCTGGGCACATAGTAGGTCTGCAATAGACTTTTTTTTCTCTTTGGTTGTGGTCTTGAAAGAAGGACATGCCCAGTCAAATCAGGAGCTGAAAGAGGATGCTAGATTAGGGAGTAACGATGGTCTTCTTCAAACATTTTATAGGCCTCTTACCTACCTGCTTACTTCCTGTCGAGCTTGGCATGCAGAATGAATAGTGAACATATCCATATTACATTACTCAACTGCCCCTTTGCCAGGGACATACTGAATTAAGCTTCAAATATTTGATGACTTGTTTTGTATTACCTCATCCGTGGAACTCAACTTGTGTTTCAAAGACAAGATGCAAAAATTCAATCCACAGTCTGATTTAAATTTTAAAAAAGCACAGTGATACCACTTCCAGCCCCCATGTTTTACCATGGAAAACCTCTGATAGCTCAGAAACATGGAACTCAATATGACTGCCAAGTACATGAATAGAGGTAAAATATTATACTTAATTCTGTAATGAGTACATTAAATTACCAGTGAATACTTGTCTTATCTTCCACTAAATAATTTTTTTGTTTTCAGATGGAAACTCGCTCTGTCACCCAGGCTGGAGTACAGTGGGACGATCTTGGTTCACTGCAACCTCTGCCTCCTGGGTTTAAGCGATTCTCCTGCCTCAACCTCCCGCTAAATAATGTTTAAATTACCTTAAGAAATATACACAGTGTGTTCTTTATGGCTTACATGCAAATGTTTATATTTGCCTGTGGCTTGTTACCTATCCACGATCTGACATTTAGAAACCCATGATCAGAGATAACAAAATAATAGCAAAAATAGGCCACACTGGTTTCTAGCAGAGTGTAATATTGGCTAAAAATCCTCCTTTGGAATATATGCTATTAATATCAAGGCTACATATAGGCATGTGGAAATTACAAGTTTATTTGCATGTTGCAGTGTTGTCAAATGTATCACTTTAAGTTTTTTTAAATTTCCTTTCACAAAGAAGAGCTTTATCTCTGAAAATTGGCAGGAGCAGTTAAATGATCTAGTAGCATTATTGGTTTCTGAGAGTTTCCAGGCAATGTCAATAAGAACTCCCTGAATTCAAGAATTCAGTATTTATTCTTTGTTCTTATGGCTGTTGCCTGAAATCTTTCCCTTTTTAGCAAGGACTAAAATAAGTTAGTGAACCACAGGAAGGATGTAAGTTAGTTCTACAGTGATATTTCTAAATACCCATGATTTTTAGAAGTAAAATACACAGGCCATCTTTGAAACACAGTAAATGGAGCTATCTCCTAGACGGTAATTTGGGTTATATCTGGTATTTACTGAAGTTATTTATCTCACAGTGTGGGATATGATATGAATCAAATCATATTCCCCAAATAAGATGGCAAACCACATTATAATGCAATCCCCCTTGTAGTCTTAGGCCATGTAACAGTTCGAAACCAGGAAGTATCCTCTTTCTATTTTTATTGAGCACAATTATTAGAATTATTAGAATTTTTATTGAGCACAATTATTAGAATAATTAGAATTTTTATTGAGCACAATTATTAGAATTAGGCCAGGTGCAGTGGCTAACGCCTGTAATCCCAGCACTTTGGGAGGCCGAGGCGGGTGGATCACTGGAGGTCAGGAGTTCGAGACCAGCCTGACCATGTGGTGAAACCCCGTCTCTACTAAAAATACAAAAAAACTAGGCAGGCATAGTGGCATGTGCCTGTAGTCCCAGCAACTCGGGAGGCTGAGACAGAATTGCTTGAACCACAGAGGCGGAGGTTGTAGTGAGCCTAGATCATGCTACTGCACTCCAGCCTGGGCAACAAAGCAGGACTCCATCTCAAAAAAAAAAAAAAAAAAAAAAAAGGAAGCATTATGCATTCAGTTCTAACAGTAACAGTAACTACTACTTACACCTGTCACACAATATATATGCAACTGAATAATTAATGAAAGTTTAGACTATGACAATTGATTAATGACTTTTCTTATCAAGTGGTCTACCTAGGCAGATTACTACCAAAATAAGTACTATGCTCAATATACTTTTCATGTTTGTGAGTCGTTCAACTCTACAATTGAGTTATGCTAACATACAATTTAGAACTTTCAGAACAGAAGTTCTGTCCATTAAAAAGCTGAACCCAATTATGATCAAAATTATTTCATTGGCTCTCTCCTGACCAGATGATATATATTATGCAATCGAATTCCATGAAGACAGAAGCTTCTCTTTATTTTGTTCAACATGTAACTGGCCTAGTGCTGAAAGTTATCTTGCAGAAAGAAGAAAACTTTGAGAAATTATTCCAAAGCTAACTTTGGGGCCAGAAACGTTGGTCGTGGTTCCGTTGAAGTCACAATGGGGAGTGAATGGGGCGCTTCAGGGAAGTCATTAGCACTCACCAGAAAGGGAACCAAAACAATCACACAGTGACAGAAAGCACACTGCCCTAGATTGACACAGAACAGTCTGACTCAAATGAACAGCTTTGGGAAATACACTCCATTTTAATGACATTCCACTGGGAAGTTTGTCTTGGCCCACTCGGTCTGCTACAACAAACTACCATAGACTGGATGGCTTATCAACAAAAAGTTCTTTCTCATGGTCCTGGAGCCTAGAAGTCCAAGATGAAGGTGCAAGACAAGAGCCAACTTTCTGGTTGTAGATGGCGCCTTCCTGCAGTGGGAAGTGGCAGAAGGGGCAAGGGAACTCCTTGGCATCTCTTTTATAAGGGTATTAATTCCATCCCAAAGGCCCTACCTCCTCATACCACCACGCTAGGGGAATAAGTAGAAACGTATGAATTTTGGAGAGACACAAACATTTAGTCTATAGCAAGTTTCTTAAATTATTTTTAAATGCATTGCAAAAGACAGACGGGAAGGTCATCAGTGGTACTTGGGGAGGCTATAACATGGGTTTTACTTTCTTGTGTTGGCATAACTGCATAAGATGTTAAAATCATTTATGCCAGCATGTAATTTATCTCATTAGACCAGTTAGCAAAACAGTGACCATACGTTTAAGTGTGTTGGTTATCACACTTGAATCTCTAGTCCTGACTTTTGCGGAAACAAAGTGATGTTATTTAATCAGATGGAATATAAGAATGTCAAGTGTAGGTGGGAAGGTTGGTTGGTTTTGAAGGATTTGGTGAAATATGTAGTGCTCTGTTAATGCTTCTTCTGTGTTTATTTGGTTCCTTAGGTAAAGCCATTAGCTTGTTAGCAATCATGATTCTGGTTGGGGACAGCCTGCATAATTTTGCAGATGGCCTAGCCATAGGAGCAGCCTTCTCATCATCATCCGAGTCAGGAGTGACCACTACGATTGCTATCTTGTGTCATGAAATCCCACATGAAATGGGTAAGTTCAACAATGGAATTACTGTTTCTGGCCTGTTGAGAAAGAAATAACATCTTTCCAGCTATGGTTTACTAGGATTCTTTTTCTAACCTATGACTTAAAGATGAATACTTTCCTTTTATAATTTATTTAAACCATAAGAAGAGGAGGACTAGAAAAATAACTCCTGTACCTTGGAATAAAATCCAGTTAAACTCCTTTATGATGTTTCCCAGGGCCAGAAATGACTCTATTTGGATTCCAGAGAATTCCATATGGGAGACAGTCATTCAGAGAAATATTTTAAAGAATTTTGATGGGGACTTTAAAATCTGCATATTAAATGTGAGAAAAATATTAGGAGGGGAACTTTATCCATCATGTCAGCACATGGGCCAGTAAGATAAAATAACATTTAAATTAAAACCGGCCGGGCGCAGTGGCTCACACCTGTAATCCCAGCACTTTGGGAGGCCGAGGCATGTGGATCACCTGAGGACAGGAGTTCAAGACCAGCCTGACCAACAGGGTAAAACCCCGTCTCTATTAAAAACAAAAACTTAGCCAGGTGTGGTGGCCCAGGCCTGTAACCCCAGCTACTTGGGAGGCTGAGGTGGGAGAATCGCTTGAACCCAGGAGGTGGAGGTTGCAGTGAGCTGAGACTGAGCCATTGCACTCCAGCCTGGGCAACAGAGTGAGACTCCATCTCAAAAAGAAAAACAAAAACAAAAACAAAAAACCAAACCATGGTTTCATCAACCTGACTTATACAAAATGTTTAAAGCCAAGCCTAGCATTGAAATGACAGGTGTGTGGTGGCAGATTCTCATAAATCTCTTTTTCTGGATAATCTTAGTTGCCCTGTAACTTTTTTTCTTTTAATTTTTGTGGGTACATAGTGGTTGTATGTATTAATGGAGTACATGCGATGTTTTGATACAGGTATGTAATGCGTAAGAATCATATCATGCAAAATTGGGTATCCATCCCCTCAAGCATTTATTGTTTGTGTTACAAACTATCCAATTATACTCTTTTAGTTATTTTTAAATGTACAAATTAAATTATGATGACTGTAGTCGTCCTGTTGTGCTATCAAATACTAGGTCTTATTCATTCTATTTTTTTTTTTTTTTTTGTAGTGATTAACCATCTTTACCTCACCTCCACCTTCCCCTACCACCCCACTACCCTTCCCAGCCTCTGGTAACCTTCTTCTATTCTTTAACTCCATGAATTCAATTGTTTTGATTTTTAGATCCCACAAATAAGTGAGAACAATATAGCCCTGTTCTTTGCCTCCCAGGACGCAAGATGGGTTAGAACAGACGTTTCTGAAACAGACCCAGAAATAGTAGAGGCTGGTCTGGCATAGGCTCCCAAGGGAGAGGGCTCTTCGCAGTCTCTCTGCTTCCACTTTCGCACCTACATTGCCCCTAGGAAACGCTTGCCCTCTTGTGCTTGGAGTCCGTTGCTCAAAGTCCTGACACTGACTCATTATTGACCTATCCTTCTTGGAGCAGTTTATCCAAGGTCCTCCCTGGGCTCATTAAAGTGCACCTGGTCTGGAAGCCATCCCCTATCTGTGGTCCTGAGTTTTGCTACTGTAACAGGGATGTAGCCCCCAGTCCTCAACCCAAAGCCACAGGGCAGTGTGACCGTCTGCAGCAGGCCAGCAGAGATGTTTCAAGCCCCGTTCATGGGAACAATTATGCAATGGAACTAGAAAACTGGGTCCCCAAGCTGTCTATTGAATTTTAGTCTCAATCCCCCAAACTAAGAAGTAGATGTTCTCAGATTTACTAACAGGTCAATCTTCTCTTGGAGGGAAGGCATGGAGAGAATGAGATCATTTTCCTATAATCATTTTCTAAAGGGAAAAATTTGTTTCCTAACCAACTTTTACAATGCTTTAAAAATCTCATATTAAGTAGTTTTCTCTCCCCACAGCAGTTTCTGCATAAGTAAATAATAAAAGCCCATATAGTGTCATGATTTCACCTGGCAAATTTCCAGGCCCAAAGATTTAGAAACCCTGGGACAGTGAGTGACTATTTTCCATTTATCTAAGTTGGAAATGTCAGAGGATATCAAGAACTCAAGAATATGTCACAGACCTCTCTGTAGATACAATCTTTAGGAGCAGCCAAAGGAATGGAACTCTTGAAATGCAACTTCCTAATAGTACGATGAATGGGCTATGAATTCTAGAGAAATATAGGAAAGCATTTTATTTACTGATCACTCAACTCTACCTATAAAATTGGTTCCAGTGCTGACATTCGAAATAGCTAATAGTGCGTTACTTTAGCAAAGGCGTCTTCCATTAAATGATAATTATATTTTCCTTTCCTCTTAAACTTCAGGAGACTTTGCCGTGCTCTTAAGCTCTGGACTTTCTATGAAGACTGCCATCCTGATGAATTTTATAAGCTCCCTAACTGCCTTCATGGGATTATACATTGGCCTTTCCGTGTCAGCTGATCCATGTGTTCAAGACTGGATCTTCACAGTCACTGCTGGGATGTTCTTATATTTATCCTTGGTTGAAATGGTAAGCTTGGTGGCTTTTCTATTTGATTTTTCTAAGCACTGAAAATGTAAAACAGAGAAAAAAAACAGTAAAAATGGAAGGATAAATGAGTAGAACAGAAGAATTTATAAAACAATATAAACCATTAAGGAATATTCTTTGTACTCCAAGAAAGTGCATTCTGGGCAGAAAGAACATAATTTGGGTACAGAAAATACTGACATTTTCTGTAGTGTTAAAGTGACAGGTGTGTGATAGCAGTTGCATGTAAGACTTTTTTCTTTTAGTGATTTTAAGTGGAAAGAATGAAATGTTCATAATCTTCAAAAAGTAATCATCAGCTCATTCGATTCCAGCTTTGTACCTATATATGATGCCTGTATTTCCAGTTGAAAATGAAAAGTTCTGTCAATCAGCCAGCTATTTTATTTATACAATGCGAAAGTTCTGTTAAATAGCCAGCTATTTTATTTATACAATGGAAAATAATTCAACTGAATTTGTCATTGAATTAAATCACTGTTTGACTTAATTAACCAAATGTGTTTTTTAAATAATGATTACGTCTTTGAAGTTTGAATTGCCAAAAGGACAATTGCGCTGATGAAATGAGAAAGAAGATTTTTATAGTATTTGGTTTCTAAAATTGCAACGTATGTTTCCTATAGAGGTCCTTGCTGACCTTAATGATAACTCAGTCATTAGTTTTCTTTCTGTATAACCTGATGAGGGAATTGAACCTGGGAAATTTCACATTGTCTTGCTTCTTAAATTCTGGTCTCCTTAAGATAAAAGTCTTTTTGAAGGTCACTCTCTATTGGGCTTGTTTACAACTTTAAAAATATCTTAAGGTAAAATCATATTGATTATCCCTTCTCATGGGTTGGAATATGGCAAATAAAAATAAAATTAATTAACAAAAGAGGTACTTAAGGCTGAAATCAGGCTGTGTAAAAGTCAGATATGTTATTACCTGTGTCCTGGAGAAGAAAAAGTAAATAACCTTGAAGGTAATATGTGGAACAGATTCATTGAGATTGACTACTAATGAAGCAGAATCCAACCATTGTCCTGGAAGTAAAAGAAATATTTCATGAGGAAAAAAATACAGGAGGCAGAAACCTGTGCTAATAGAACCAGAATAGCAGTGCGTTGTTGAAGTTAAGTCTTAGTAAGGGGATTCTCAGAGTAAACCCTGCCATTTTTAAACCCCACTCTAAGGCTCCTGAGTTTCCGGATGTTTTTCTTAATTCTTATGAGATGCATGCAGATGAGGTAAACACCAAATGTCCTTCCATATTTAGAAATGTTCTTATATATTATCTGTGATGCTCTGAGAACATTCTAATTTTGATAGTAAAGTGAAAGTGGAGCAAATTTTGACCCAGCAATCCCATTGCTGTGTATATATTCAAAGGAATATGAATCATTCTATTATAAAGATACATGCAGCACTATACACAATAGCAAAGACATGGAATCAACCCAAGTGCCCATCAGTGACAGACCGGGTAAAGAAAACGTGATACATATGCACCGTGGAATAATACGCTGCCATAAGAAGGAATGGGATCGTGTCCTTTGCAGGGACATAGATGAGGCTAGAAGCCATTATCCCCAGCAAACTAATGCATGAACAGAAAACCAAACACAGCATGTTCTCACTTATAAGTGGGAGCTGAGCGATAAGAACACATGGACATAGGGACGGGAACAACACACACTGGGGCCTGTCGGGGGAGGGTGGGGGTGGGGAGAGCATTAAGGTAAAGAGCTAATGCATGCTAGGATTGATACCTAGGTGATGGGTTGATAGGTGCAGCAAACCACTGTGACACACGTTTACCTATTTAACAAACCTGCATATGTACCCCGGAACTTAAAAAAATAAAGTGGAGCAAATTTTACCCCTTTTTCTGAACCTATCCCCCAACCTGAGGTCAATGTTATGGAATCCTGCGATTCTTTCAACTTGAGAAATCTGTATTTCCAGCTTTGTTGTGACTTTGAAACCACAGTCACTCACCATTTAATGAAATGAGCTATACTTTGTTTAAACTAAACAGTCTTGAAGGTAATGTGTGGAGCACATCAGTCCTCAGATTCACTCTTGAGCTTCCTAATTTTCAACTTTCGATTTCTAATTTCTCTTTATGGGTCAGTTCAGGGCAATTGCTGGATTCTTTTGAAGTTTACTCTGTTTTTCACACAGACTGGTTCTCTCTTCAAGTAGGATGAATGTCGATGTCTGTAGTCAATTTGTTTTCTTTGCTTTTGTCTACTCTCCCAGAATTGACGGGGGAAGGTTATCAAGAGCCATTTGTCATGCAGAACCCTAAGCTAAGTATGTCATTTTCCTTTCAATGTTCCTGCTCCTTTTCTTGTAAGCATAAGCAATTGCTTAGAAGAAAGCAATGTGACTGATATCCTGTGAGATTCCAGCTGGCATAAATCTTGACCCTATTGCAAATGGCTATTAGCCGAGGAAAAACCAGCATCCTGGCAGAAAGACAGGAAAAAAAAAAATACTTGTGAGTTTCCCGGGGCTACTTCCTATCATCCAGGTCGCTTGCTCTCACGGCCTTCTGAGCAACTTCTAAACAAACGCAGCTCTTTCACATAGCAATAAGTTTAACTGTTGGTTTTCTCTGGGGCCATGCCAAAGAAAATAGTCGGTCATTTAAAGGGAAGAAAACAAGGTTGCAAAGACTCTGAAACAGTAAAGAAAATAAATGCAGCAACTAAGGGGTAAAGGGGAACACTAGATGGAATATACTAGTTAATTGCTAAATCCTGGATATTGACCAGGTACCTTCTGAACAAGGTTAATGTGAAAAGACTAGCTAGATCTTTGTTTGTTTGTTTTAAAGAAATTGGGTGTGTTATTTCAAACTCCCAAAAGAAGAAGAACTAGAGACATAAATGAGGCCATTAGCAATGAGGTCAGCAAAGAAGAAAGTCCTTTCTGGGGAAAAGTGCCAAACTTAATTCTCCAAAGTAGAATTGGCTTATTCAAGTATACTAACTCCAAATTGCACTGAAGCATGGCTAAAGGAAGTTAAGAATGAATGCCTCTCTGGGTGGCCAGAGGAAATTAATGCTCTGTTATGAAGATCAGTGTCCTAGACTGGGTTTCCTTCAAAGCAGCTGGGAAGACAAAGGACAGGGTGAAAGCAAGTCATTTTGGAGGTGATCCCAGGGAGCAGAAGTGAAGGACCGGCAAACTGAAACAGAGAAGGAAGAAAGGTCAATACCATCTGTGTTTTTATTAAGTTGACCAGGACTATGGGAACACCATCACACAGGACCTTCTGATGAGGCTCAAGAAATATGCCTCAGAATAGTTTACCTGGGAAAGGAAGAGGCTTTATCTACAGGCTCTTGTCCCTGTGTTCAACACTGGCCCTGCCAGCATTATCTCCCCATCTCCACTTCCAGGTTATACACACCTGAGTACTAAGAGCATTCCTGGAAAGGGGCTCAAGCCATCACATCAAAGAAGCCCAGGGCAGGAGAAAGAGGAATGCAGTGTGAACCAGAGGCAAGACTCTGCAAAACCAATCAACACCTCCTTGGAATGGGTCTCTGCAGCAGTGACTGGGGTCAGAGATGGGGCTGAGTGCATCTGAAATAGCACACGTGTGATGTCCATTAACGGTTGGCCCCTTCCACTCCTCAAATGCCCTCCTTTCCTCTTAACACCCATCTCTCCCCAAGTCCCTTCGTGGTGGTAGCCAGCCAAAATACCACAAAGACTTCATAGAAAACAATAAGTGGAAGAAGCTCCAAACCCTGCTGGCCCTGAGGCCATAGTTGATATTCTTCATCTCTGCTCTCCAGCATCCAATCCTGATCCTCCTTAGCTCCAGGCAGCACTTGGGTTGATCTACATCAACCCAACCCTGGGAGGGGCAACTTAGGTCTTCAATGAAGGATCTGAATGTTCACTGCTTTGTCCTTGTTAGGCTGTGTATCCTCTAGTTGCCTGGTGACCATTGTTACCAGGCATCAAGAAGCACCAAGAGATGCTCCAAGAAATCTGAATTTGTAGCTGTGTTCCTTCTCTCCTCACCATGCAGCAGCACCCCTAACTCCTCATGGTAACTGTTATAGGAAAGGAGTCCTAATCCAGACCCCAAGAGAGGGTTCTTGGATCTTGTGCAAGAAAGAATTCAGAGAGAGTCCACAGTGCAAAGAAAAAACAAGTTTATTAAGAAAGTAAAAGGATAAAAGAATGGCTACTCCATAGACAGAGCAACCCCATTGCTGCTGGTTGCCCATTTTCATGGTTATTTCTTCATGATATGCTAAACAAGGGTTGGATTATTCATTCCCCCCCCTTTTTAGACCATATGGGGTAATGTCCTGACATTGCCCTGGCATTTGTAAGTTGTCATGGCACTGGTGGGAGTGTAGCAGTGAGGATGACCAGAGGTCACTCTCATTGCCGTTTTGGTTTTGGTGAGACTTTGCTGGTTTCCTTACTGCAAACTGTTTTGTCAGCAAGGTCTTTATGACCTGTATCTTTTGCTGACCTCCTCTCTCTTCCTGTGATGTAGAATGCCTTAACTGTCTGGGAATGCAGCCCAGTAGGCCTCAGCCTCATTTTACCCAGCTCCTATTCAAGATGGATTACTCTTGTTCACATGCCTCTGACATAATCACTAACAATTACTCTTACCATTATAGTAACTTTCTTCACTGTTGGTTGATCCACTAATATAGGGAGCCCCAAATGAGCAAGTGGTAGTGATAGTTTCAAGTTGACTGGAAACTTTATTGCAGGAGTTCTCAACCCCTGGTCCTGTTAGGAACGAGGCCGCACAGTAGGAGGTGAGCGGCAGGTGAGCAAGCGAAGCTTCATCTGTACTTACAGCCGCTCTGCATTGCTCACCTGAGCTCCGCCTCCTGTCAGATCAGCGGGGGCATTAGGTTCTCACAGGAGCGTGAACCTTATTGTGAACTGCGCATGTGAGGGATCTAGGTTGCACACTCCTTATGAGAATCTAATGCCTGATGATTGGTCACTATCTCCCATCACCTCCAGATGGGGCCGACTAGTTGCAGGAAAACAAGCTTAGGGCCCCCCACTGATTCAATATTATGGTGAGTTGCATAATTATTTCACTATATATTACAATGTAATAATAATAGAAATAAAGTACACAACCAATGTAATGTGCTTGAATCATCCTGAAACTATCACCCTCACCTCCAACCGTCGGTCCACGGAAAAATTGTCTTCCATGAAACCAGTCCCTGGTGCCAAAAAGGTTGTGGACCACTACTTTCTTGTATTCCCTGGTGCATTCTCCCCAGGAACAGGGATCTGTGGTCTGACAGTACCTAAGTTTACAGGAACAGGGAGCATAAATACACCAAGTGAAAAAACTAGCAATACCTATCTATCAATTGCTTTATAATTTGGTACTGTTTCTCTCCTAATCGCCATTATTTCCTTCCTTCTTACTTTGCATTTAATTTTCTCTTTACTTTCTTGCAGCTGTGTAAGAGCATCTCATTTTGTCTGAGAGCTGAATGTTCCGCCTAAGAAAATTCTCAGAATTGGAAATCTAGAGGATTTCTTAAATCCAGCTTCTCTAAAGTTTATAAAAATTGCTCAAATAGAAAAAAAAGCCCTCAAAGTATTGTCTTTTTCCAGCGTTTGGATAAGAGAGACTTTATTTTTAACTAATATAATTTGTTATTTAAAGCATAAATTAATTAATTAAAAAAATGTAAATGGGTTATGCCAAGGGAGGGTTTATTTTGGATCTGAAGCAATGTTTCAAACCTTTAGGCATTTTTCCTAGGGTTTTTAGATCCTGCCAAAATGGTGTTTCCATAGCAACAGGACTATAGAAACCTCAAGGGGCTATCACTGTAGATGTAACTAGAGATGTCCCTACAATGGGGGGAACTGGACAACTGCCCAGGAATTTAGTACATTAATAGAACCCAAGCTGATGGAGGAGCTGTAACTTAGGGAGGGAGCTAATGGAGAAGGAAGTACCTGTCCAATTCATGCCAAAACAAAATAAAACATAGCCCAGGTGCCCCCTCCAGGTGTATCCAAGGCAAATGAATTGGAATAGGGGAAATATCCAATTTCAAACCCTCTTCCCCCATCAACCTCCCTCACCATATAGGGTTCTAGATCTCTTCCCCCACCCTCACGTTTTTTGGATGCTCTTTAAAAACTTCATTTCCTCTCCAAGACTATCCCTTATGTTTCTTCAACCTTATTTTACTTATCTAATAACTTTGCAGGCAGGGGATTGGGGGGAGCAGGAACCTCAAGAATAAAAAGCAGTCAGAGCAATTTACTTATCTTCCCTCTTGTGAGAAGTGTCGCCCAGAAGTAATATCACAGCCAGACCTTTGCCTGGAGGACTTTCAATTTCCAGATAATTTTCCTTAAGTGAAAGGCAGGATAAAAGGTATTTTGAATATGAATTTAAGATCTTCTACCTTTAAAACATATCCAAAAATGCAAAAATCAAACCTGAGTATTCAATCTGGTCAATAAACAGGATTATCAATATAGTTCATCCTCTCTACACTTATTGTAGGTCAGTAAATGTAGCAGCTTCAAGAACATGAATTGGGTAAAAGCAAAAAAACATTAATTGAGTGACAAACATCCACCTTTCTAGCCAGGCTTCTCCTCTCTTCTTCATCATATAACTATAAAATTAAACTAAACTAGAATCCTAGACTTTTAGAATATTGATCCCATTCCCTCCTCCCCATTTTTCTTTCTTTTTCTTGTGATTTACTGAGTTTGAATGAGTCTTTCTTTATCAGAGAAATCTAGACTCCGAGGCAATTCAGTCAAAGATCTGCAATCACCAAGTCAGGTCTGGTAAATGAATCCTTTCTCCATCCAAAAGATGAGTAAGTCTTCCTTTCTTTGAAGTTTGGCAATACCTAAGTGTAATTTCTGTTAAACATCCACCCACAGGAAGAGATTTTGTTTGAAAAAGACATATGAAGTAACCTTGATATACGTATTTGTTTTCAACAAATATTGTAGTTAAAATCAATGAGTTCCATTGGCATCATTTTAAATATCCTTTGGCTGAGAAAGAAATAGCAAGCATTCAAAACTCAATTCAGGCAGCAAAATTAATGTAATTTAACATTCACAATTATTTCTTAACAAAAGCAAGAAGGGTGAATCATTCTTACCCACAAATTTGAAAGACTTCTATTCTCTTTCTGTAAAAATCAGTCAAACCCCACACTTAGAAATTTTCTACTGAGAAAATGAGTAATTAAGCCAACTTTGGTGAACGCTGAATTCTCTCTATAATTAAAAGAAACTGACCATCAGAAATGCTGGTATTTTTCTACTCCTCGTTCCTCTTTTCTTCTAACTAATTTCTCAGATCATACACACACATACACACAGATCTTCCAAAGCAGTTATTTTAAAAATGCAGTTGGCCCTAGAACAACATGGGTTTGAACTGCATGGGTTCACTTATACTCAGATTTTCTTCCACCTCTGCCACCTCTGAGACAGCAAGACCAACCGTTCCTCCTCCTCCTCCGTCCCTTCAATGTGAAGATGAGGATGAAGACCTATATGATTGTCCACTTCTACTTAACTAATAGTAAATGTATTTCTCCTCTTTATGATTTTATTTTCTTTTCATTTCGTTTCTCTTTTCTTCTTTCTTTTCTTTCCCAAAACAAAATAATACAAAGCCCAGGCGCCCCCTCCAGGTATTTCCTCCCTTCCTTCCTTCCTTCCTTTCTTTTTTTGAGACAGAGTCTCACTCTGTCGCTCAGGCTGGAGTGCAGTGGCGCGATCTCAACTTACTGCAGCCTCTGCCTCCCAGGTTCAAGCAATTATCCTGCCTCAGCCTCTGGAGTAGCTGGGATTGCAAACATGTGCCCCCATGCCCGCTTATTTTTATGCTTTTAGTAGAGATGGGGTTTCGCCATGTTGGCCAGGCTGGTCTGGAACTCCTGGCCTCAAGTGATCCACCTGCCTCAGCTTCCCAAAATGCTGGGATTACAGGCATGAGCCACTGCACTCATCCCCCTTATGACTTTCTTAATAACATTTTCTTTTCTCTAGCTTACTTTATTGTAAGAATACTGTATATAATACACAGAGCATATAAAATATGTGTTAATTGTGTTATTGGTTAGGCTTCTGGCCAGCAGTAGGCTATAAGTCGTTAAGTTTTGGGAGAGTCAAAAGTTATACATGAATTTTCAACTGTGCAGGGATCAGCATCCTAACCCCCACATTGTTCAACTGAACTAAAGCTGGCTGACATCTGTCTTTGCTGAGCTTTACGACTAAGAATTTGTCTAACTGAATCACTTCCCCTAAGGAAAAAAAGGAGAAGAGAATTGTTAAATACAAGTTTAAAGCAGGTAACATCTTAGTCTCTCCTAATTGCGTGTGACAGTGATGTGCTCTTTATCTTATAACTCACAGTTTTCAAAAAAATGTAATTTATCTTCTGCAAACTGCTTCATGAATTGCCTTGAGAAGATCCCACTGGGAAGTGATAGACATATAAGATTCTGTATTTGAATTATTCAGCAAATAAAATTTTTAAAGCTGAAGATTTTAAAACAACCTTGAGAATAGCCTCCGGGTTGGCTATCCCATATAAGTTGAGAGCTGTGGTCTTTGCTTTCTTGAATAACAAGGAAGGTTAAAACAGCTATGTTAAGTTGTTTATTGAACATAAATACTAGTTGAAAAAGACCTAAATTCAAAACAGTGGGAACAAACCGCCTGATTTCAGGAGATTCTTGAGTCAACAGAGTGTTGAGGATTCTACTCTTACTAATCAAATATGATTCTAAAATAGAACATATTCTAACATCCCTCTTTTGATTGATGTCAAAAAGGACAACCAAAAAAATGAATTCCATGAAAAAAAGGAAAAGCACAAGATAGCCATAACCAAACTTTTATCTGAATTAAACCCTCAGAAGATTGTTAAAAGCAAGAATTGATATATTTGTAAGCAAACATTCCAGAGAAGATTTTTATTCTCCAGAATGTTGTAGAAAGGGAAATCCTGGAGGGCCTTTTTAAGACTCTGTGGCTGATAAAAGCTCATCTCTGTGCATATGTAACCATCTCCACCAAGGTCCAGTCAGAGGGTCAGCAAGGTTCATTAAAAGAAAGACACTCCAGACTTCCCTCCGTCTTGTTTACAGCAAACCATCACAAAGAAATTAGAAGTAGAAAACCCTGCAGACTATTGAAAGGGTGGCTGGGTGCGGTGGCTCGCGCCTGTAATCCCAGCACTTTGGGAGGCAGAGACAGGCGGATCACGAGGTCAAGAGGTCAAGACCGTCCTGGCCAACACGGTGAAACCCCTTCTCTACTAAAAATACAAAAATTAGCCCGGCGTGGTGGCGCACACCTGTAGTCCAGCTACTCAGGAGGCTGAGGCAGGAGAATTGCTTGAACCCAGGAGGCAGAGGTTGCAGTAAGCCAAGATCGCACCACTGCACTCCAGCCTGGGTGACAAGGTGAGACTACGTCTCAAAAAAAAAAAAAAAAAAAAGGGCTTAAATCCTGCAAAAATGGATTTGTTTGTGGTTGTTAACGAAGCGTGAGGACATGAGAGCTGAGTTTATGCTCAGGGACTTTGAGATCTAAACAAAACTCAGAATTTCATGTTTTTTAGTGGAAAGTAATGACAATGAATCTTTACCAGGCAGCAAGTGACATCTCTTATTATCACATAGGTTCTTAGATCTAACCTAAATGGTGCTTTATTAAAAATATTGTAATATTATAATCTTTATATTATAATAAGCTAAAAAGCTAAACAATGATATTACAATAAGTTAAAAAGATAAGTAGTTAATAAGCATATTACAGTAAGCTAAATATATCACAATAAGCTAAAAATCTAAACAGTTAAAGCAAACTAAGAATTTTAAAGCTTTAGCTATCATGTTTGGGTCTGATCCATTTTAAGTTAATTTTTATATATGGTATTAGGTAAACATCCAACTTTATTTATTATTATTATTATTATTATTATTATTATTATTATTAGAGACAGAGTCTTGCTGTGTTGCCCAGGCTGCAGAACAGTGGCATGATCATAGCTTACTGTAGGCTTGATCTCCTAGGATCAAGTGATTCTCCTACCTCAGCCTCCCAAGTAGCTGGGACTACAGGCACCTGCCACCATGCCCAGCTAATTTTAAAAAATGTTTTTTGTACATATGGCATGTCACTATGTTGCCCAGGCTTGTCTTGAACTCTTGGCTTCAAGTGATCCTCTTGCCTCAGCCTCCCAAAGTGTTGAGATTACAGTATGAGCCACCATGTTCAGCCTGTTCTTTTGAATGTGTATATCCAGTTTCCCCAGCACCATCTCTTGAAAGGACTCTCCTTTGACCATTGAATGGTTTTGGCACCCTTGTTGAAAATCAATTGATCACGTGTGCAAGACTTTGTTTCTGGGTTCTCCATTCTCTTCTCTTGGTCTATATGGCTGTCTGTAGCCAGTACCACACTCATCTGATTATTCTAGTTTTGTAGTAAGTTTTGAAATCAGGAAATCTAAGATCTCCAAATTTATTCTTTTTCAAGATTGTTTTGGCTATTTGAGGATCCTTTGAGATTTCATATGAATTTTAGGGTTAATTTTTCTATTTTTTAAAAAAAGTGATTGGGATTTTGGTAGAGATTACGTTTAGTCTGTACTTTAAGTAGTATTGATATCTTAATAATACTAAATTTTCCAATCCATGAACGTGAGATGTCTTTCCATTTATTTTGTTTTTAATTTCTTTCAGCAATGTTTTATAGTTTTCAGTACACAAGTCTTTCACTTTTTTGGTTAATTTTATTTCTAGGTATTTTCTTCTTTTTGATGATATTGTAAATACATTTGTTTTCGTTTCTTTTTTGGATTGTTCATTGTTTGTGTTTATAAATGCAACTAATTTTGTGTGTTTATTTTGTCTTTCAACTTTGCTAAATTTATATATTTGGATTTTGTTTTAACATCTTGGGAGTGAAAAAATATACACCTACTGCTTAACAAATTATTATTTAACAGAAAGGTGTATTCTACAAGCAGTATTTTTTAAAATATAATGCTGTAGTGCATAAAAATATGTACATTAAAGACACATTTACAAGTCAAAAAGATCCTACAACAATCACATAAGCCCTTTCCTCTTGTTTTGTTTTTGAAACCCACTGGAAACAGAAATCAAAATTTAGCTCATTCAGTGTCTGTTTTTCCCTTCTTCAATTTTAAGTTGTATGAATAGAGAAATATGCATTTATGACAATAAATAAAGGAAATCTCTATTGTCTTTCAATGTTAGAAGGGATCATGTCTTTTGAAGTCCTTGTGCTGTATGACAAAATTAATCCTTGCATGAATTTTTTTCTTGTTCACTAGAGCAACTTTTCTGGTATTTCCTTAAAGTTTGTGATAGTGAATGCCAGGTACAAACTGCCTTGCTTGTTAGGACTAACACAGGTTTACAAATCTGATGCATCTACAGTTTGAGTGTCATAATGATCACAGCTGTGAAGGGACAACCTATGTATGGTTTCATGTTTCTAACTATCTGCAAGAAAAGTAAAAAAGTAGTGTGATTGACTTCATGGTAAAGCACTACAACAACTAGCAAGATGGCTAGATGATGTATGGGAGAAGAAAGATGAACTAAGGCAGTTCATGCACTTTTTGGATTTGTAAAGGCCAAACGGTCTTCCTAATTTATCAATTTTTCAGCAAGTTGTGATCTCATAGATGAGTTTTTCAGTAAATTTTCTTGGAGACACTGCATGGATAAAGGATTTTACAGATTATTAGGTTGGGCAAAAACTGTATAAACTTTTGGGTACCACTAAGAACCATATTAAATCTATATATCTATATATCTGTTTAATGGAAAGACTGTTACATGTCTCTTTGTAATCATTTTTTAGTTGACATGTTAACAATAATCATCAAAAGACTCTAAAAAATTGAGATAAAAAATTAGCTGAATGCCTTATTAACATTGTTCTCAATATGTGAATAAGTGAATACTCAAAAGATGTTTTTTTCATTTTTTCTCTGTGTTTGATATTAGGGAGATGTTCCAGTGATTCTTCATAATAGTGATCACATTTGGGAAAAAAATCTAGGTGCATTGGTGGTATAATATTGTAGAAAGTGCTTGGACTAAATCTTGTCTTGAGTATCAATAAGACTGTGAAAAGGCACAGTCTAGTTTGGCCTTAGACATCAAACACTCTAGTAACTCGAAATATGCTTTAGTTTTTCCTTCTTTTTTATTTTTAAAAAAATTTTTAGAGTGACAGAACTATGTGGGTGGGACATAAAAAGTACAGAATGAACCATAATCATGATGATTCTTCTCAAAGTGGATGTGTAACTCTTGTTAAGAGTGCTTCTAAAGATAAATAATCAACTTTTTTTTTTTTCACCTACACTATCCAAATGGTGGCCAGTAGTCACATGTGGCTATTATGCCTTGAATGAGGCTAGCATGACTGAAAAATGGATTTTTTTTTGGTTAAACTTTATTTTTAGGGCAGTTTTGGGTTCACAGCAAAACTACTCAGAAGGTACAGAGTTCCCATAAGTCCCCTGTCCCCACACATGCACAACCACCCCGCTATTGACATCCTGCAACACAATGATACATCTGTTACAATTCACAAACATACCTTAACACATTGTGACTCAAAGTCCATAGTTTACATTAGATTTCACTCCTGGTTTTATACATTCTATGGGTTTTGACAAATGGACGATGACACATACTCACCATTGTATCATACGGAATAGTTGCACTGCCTAAATGTCCCCTGTGTTTTGCATATTTGTTTATTCTTCCTTCCCCCAAATCCCTGTCAACCACTACTATTTTTACTGTCTTCATGGTTTTGTCTTTTTCAGAATGTCATATAGTTGCAATTAATGATACAGTGTGCTGCCTTTTCAGATAAGCATCTTCATTTCATAATACAAATCTGAGTTTCCTCTGTCTTTTTACAGTTCGATAGTTCATTTCTTTTTAGTGCTGAATAATATTTCACTGTCTGGATGCATCACCATTTATCCATTTACCTACTGCAGTACATCCAAATTTGGTTCCTTCCAAATTTTGGTAATTATGGATTAAGCTGCTATAAATACACTTGAGCAGGTTTTTGTGTGAACAAACGTTTTCAAATCTGTTGAGGAAATGCCAAGAAATATGATTGCTGGATTACATGATAAGTGTGTTTAGTTTTGTAAGAAGCTACCAAACTGTCTTCCAAAGTGGCTGTACCTTTTGGCATTTCCATCAGCAATGAATGAGAGTTCCAGTTGCTCTACATCCTCACCAGCACTTGTTGCTGTCAGTGTTACGGGTTTTGGCCATTCTAATAGGTGTATGGAGGTATTTCATTGTTGCTGTAATTTGCAATTCACTAATAATATAAAATGCTAAGCATCTTTTATATGACTACTTGCCATCATACATCTTCTTTGGGGAGTCTCTATTCAGGTCTTCCCATTTTTAATTGGAAATTGTCTGTTTTCCTCTTAACTTTTAAAAGTTCCTTGTCTATTTTGGATACCATTCCTTTATCAGATGTTTTGCACATGTTTTCCCCAAGTCTGTGGCTTATCTTCTCATTCTCTTGACATTGTCTTTCACTGAACTGAGGTTTTAATTTTGGGAGTATATATTTAGGGCAACTTGAATCTATGCTCCTGGATTGCAATCCTGAAGCTTGGCCCAAATAAATTATTTACTTATATATTTTTAAAAATACATTTTAATTTTAATGAAGCCCAGCTTATGAATTCTTTCTTTCATAGATCATGTCTTTAGCATCTTGCCTGAAAAGTCATTGCTATACCTAAGGTCACCTAGATTTCTTTTATCCTAATCTTCTAGGATTTTTATGGTTTTGCATTTTTAATTCAGGTCTATGCTTTATTGTGAAGTAATTAATTTTTTCTTTTTGAGACAGAGTCTCACTTTGTCACCCAGGCTGGGGTGCAGTGGCACGATCTTGGCTCACTGCAACCTCTGCCTCCTGGATTCAAGCAATTCTCCTGCCTCAGCCTCCTGAGTAGCTAGGATTACAGGTGCATGCCACCACGCCCGGCTAATTTTTGTATTTTTAGTAGAGACGGGGTTTCACCATGTTAGCCAGGCTGGTCTTGAACTCCTGACCTCATGATCCACCCACCTTTTTGTGAAGAATGTAAGACTGTGTCTAGATTCACTTTTTTTGTAAGTGGATTTCAGGTTGTTCCAGCACCATTTTTTGAAAAGAGGCCATTGCTCCATTTTATTGTGTTTACTCCTTTATCAAAGATCAGCTCACTGTATATAGGTCTATTTCTGGACTCTGTTATATGCCATTGATCTATTTGTCTATTCTTTTAGCAACACAGCAGTGTCTTGATTCCTGTAACATTATAGTAAGTCTTGAAGTCAGGTGGTGTCAGGCCTCCAATATTTTTCAGTGTCAGTCTTTAATATTGAGTTGGCTATTATGGATTTCTTCCACTCCATGTGAACTTTAATATCAGTTTGTTGATACCCATTAAATAACTTGCTGGGACTTTGATTTGGATTGAATTGAATCTATACATCAAATTGGAAATAACTGACATCTTGAGGATATACAGTCTTCCTACCCTTGAACATGGAATACCTTTCCATTTATTTAGTCTTTTGATATCATTTGTCAGAATTTTGTAGTTTTCCTCATGTACGTCTTGTGCACATTTTGTTAGATTTATAACTGAGTGTTTCATTTTTGGAAGTGCAAATGTAAATGGTAATGGATTTTTAACTTTAAATTTCACCTGTTCACTGATGATATAGAGAAAGGCAGTTGACTTTTGAATATTAACCATGTATTCTGCAACCTTGCTATACTTGATTATGTGTTCTAGGAGCTTTTTTATTGAATCTTTTAGATTTTCTTTACAGTTATCATGTCATCCGTGAACAAAGGCGGTCTTATTTCTTTGTTTTTAATCTGCATGCCTTTTATTTCCATTTCTTGTCTTATTGCATTAGCCGGAACTTCCAGTATGATGTTGAGAAGCAGTGGTGAGAGGGCTCATCCTTGCCTTTCTTCTGATTTTAGTGGGAAAGCTTCTAGTTTCTCACCATTAGGTATATTTTAGCTATAGGTTTTTGTAAATGTTCTTTATCAAGTTGAGGAAATTACCTTAATTCCTAGTTTACTGAGAGTTTTTATCATGACTGAATGTTGGATTTTGTCAAATACTTTTCCTACACCTATTGATATGATCATGTAATTTTGTTTTCTTTAGCTGTTGATGTGATGGATTATGTTAACTGATATCCAAATGTTGAATCAGCCTTGCATACCTGGAATAAATCCCTCTTGATTGTAGTTATAATTCCTTTTGTACATTGTTGGTTTTGATTTGCCAATACTTTGTTCAGCAGTCTTGCATCTATATTTTTGAGAAGCGTTGGTCTGTAGTTGATTCATTGGTGTTCTTTGTTTGTAATGTCTTTGCCTGCTTTTGTTCTTAGGGTAATGCTAGCCTCACAAAATGAGTTAGGAAATATTCCTTCTACTTCTATCTTCTGAAAGAGATTTTAGAGAATTGGTAAAATTTTTTCCTAAAGTGTTTGGTAAAGTTCATTGGTGAGCCCATCTGGGCCTGGTGATTTCTGTTTGGAGAGGTTATTGATTATTAATTCAAATTCTTATTTGAATTAGATAAGGGCCTATTCAAATTTTCTATTCCTTCTTGTGTGGGTTTTAGCTGACTGTGTTTTTCAGGGAATTGGTCCATTTCATCTATGTTATCAAATTTGGGGGCATAGAGTTGTTCCTAATATTTCTTTATTATCCTTTAATGTCCACAGAATCTGTAGTGACATCCTCTCTTTGATTTCCAGTATCAGTACTTTGTATCTTCTCTCCTTTTTTTTGTTAGCCTAGCCAGAGTCTTATCTATTTTATTAATCTTTTCAATGAACCAGATTTGGCTTTGTCGAATTTCTGTATTGATTAACTGATTTTAATTTCATTGATTTCTGCTCTTTCATTATTTTCTTCTGCTTACTTTTAGATTTAATTTGCTCTTCTTTTTCTAGTTTCCTAAGAAGGAAGCTTTGAATTCTGAGTTTAGATCTTTATTCCTTTCTGATATATATAATATCTGATTCTTTTCTGAAATTCAATGCTCTGAATTTTCATTTGAGCACACTTTCACTCTTATCTCACACATTTTGATAAATTTTATTTTTATTTTCATTCATTCGAAACTTTTTTAGTTTCTCTTGAGATTTCTTTCTTAACTCATGTGTTATTTAGAGGTATGTTATTTAATCTCCAGTTCTTTTGGTATTTTCCAGCTATCTTTCTGTTATTGATTTCTAGTTTAATCCATATGATCTAAGAATAGAAGTTGTATGACTTCTATTATTTTAAATTTGTTAAGGTCAGTCTTATAGCCCAGAATGTGGTCTATCTTGTTGAATGTTCCACGTGAGCTGGGGAAGAATTTGCAATCTGCTCTTGTTGGATAAAGTAGTCTATAGATGTCAATTATGTCCAATTGATTGATGTCCTGCTGAATTCAACTATGTCTACTGATTTTCTGCCTGCTAGATCTGTTCATTTTTTTATCTTCCAATTTTTTTTTAGGTTCAAGGGATACATGTGCAAGTATGTTACATGGGTAAGGTGCATATTGTGGGATTTGGAATACAGATAATTTTGTCACCTTGGCAATCAAGGTAATACCCAATAGGTGGTTTTACAATCCTCACCCTCCACCTTAATTAAGCCCTAATATCTATTATACCCTTCTTGAGTCAATATTTATTTCCCCCTTATAAGTGAGAACATGCGGTATTTGGTTTTCTGTTCCTGTTTTAATTCACTTAGGATAACGGCCACCAGTTTCATCCATGTTGCCGCAAAAGGTGCAATCTTTTCTTTTTTATGGCTGTATAGTATTCCGTGGTGTATTTGTACCATATTTTCTTTATCCACTCCACCATTGTCAGGCATTTAGGTTGATTCTATGTCTTTGATACTGTGTATAGTGCTGTGATGAACATATGGGTGCATGTGTCTTTATGGTAGAATGATTTATATTCTTTTGGATATATATAGCCAGTAATGGGATTGCTGGGTTGAATGGTAACTCTATTTTAACTTCTTTAAGAAATCTCCAGACTGTTTTCCACAGTGGCTGAACTAATTTACATTTTCACCAGCAGTATATTAGCATTCCCTTTCTCTGCAACCTCACCAGCATCTGCTGTTTTTTAACTTTTTAATAATTGCCATTCTAATGGGTATGAGATGGTGTGTCATTGTGGTTTTGATTTGCGTTTCCCTAATGATTAGTGATATAGAGCATTTTTTCATATGCTTGTTGGCCATGTGTATGTCATCTTTTGAGACATGTCTGTTCCTGTCCTTTGCTCATTTTTTAATGGGGCCATTTGTTTCTTGCTTGTTAATTTATTTAAGTTTCTTATAGATTTTGGATATTAGACCTTTGTTAGATGGATAGTTTGCAAATATTTTTCCCATTCTGTAGGCTGTCTGTTTATTCAGTTGAGAGTTTATTTTGCTGTGCAGAAGCTCTTTAGTTTAATGAGGTCCCACTTGTCAACTTTTGATTTTTTTGCAATTGCTTTTGGAGTCTCTGTCATGAAATCTTTGCCAAGACTGATATCCAGGATGGTATTTGCTAGGTTTTCTTCTGGAGTTTTTGTAATGCTAGGTTTTACATTTAAGTCTTTAATCCATCTCAAGTTGATTTTTGTATATGGTGAAAGGGGAGGGTCCAGTTTCTATCTTCTGCACATGGCTAACCAGTCATCCCAGCACCATTTATTGAATAGAGAGGCCTTTTCTGCTTGTTATTGTCTGCTTTGTCAAAGATCAGATCATTGTAAGTGTACAGTTTTATTTCTGTGTTTTCTAACCTGTTCCATTGGTTGGATAATTACGTCTTGTTGAATCAAACCTTTTATCATTATGTAATGCCCTTTCTTTTTGTCATTTTTGATCAATCATTGTTGGCTTAAAGTCTGTTTTGTCTAAGATAAGAATAGCAGCCCCTGCTCTTTTCTGTTTTCTGTTTGCTTAATAGATATTTCTCCATCCCTTTACTTTGAGTCTATGGGTTTTCTTGCCTGTGAGATGGGTCTCTTCAAAGAAAGCATACATTTAGGTCTTGCTTCTTTATCCAGCTTACCACTCTGTGCCTTTTAAGTGGAGCATTTAGCCTGTTTATGTTCAAGGTTAATATTGATATGTATGGATTTGATCATGTCATCATGTTGTTAGCTGGTTGCTATGTAGACATAATTGTGTATTTGATTTATAGAGTCAGTAGTCTATGTACTTGAGTGTGTTTTTGTGGTGTCAGGTAATGGTCTTTCATTTCCATTTAGCACTTCCTTAAGGACCTCTTGGAAGTCAGGTCTGGTGGTTACAAATTCCATTAGCATTTGCTTGTCTGTAAAGGATTTTATTTCTCCTTCACTTATGAAGCTTAGTTTTGCTGGATATGAAATTCTTGGTTGAAATTTGTTTTCTTTAAGGATTCTTAATTAGGCCCACAACATCTTCTGGCTTGTAGGGTTTCTGCTGAAAAATCAACTGTTAGTCTGATGAGTTTCCCTTTGTAGGTGACCTACCCCTTCTCTCTAGCTGCCTTTAATATGTTTTCTTTTGTGTTGACCTTGAAGAATCTGATGACTATGTGTCTTGGGGATGTTTGTCTTATATAGTATCTTGCAAGGGTGCTCTTCTCTGAATTTTCTGAATTTGAATGTCAACCCCTGTAGTAAGGTTGAAGAAATTTTGAAGGACAGTATCCTCAAATATGTTTTCCAATTTGCTTGCTTCCTCTCCGTGTCTTCCAGGAATGCCAATGAGTCATAGATTTTATCTCTTTACATAATCCCGTCTTTCTCAGAGGTTTTGTTTATTTTTTTTTTTTAGTTCTTTTTTGTTTATTTTTGTCTTACTGAGTTAATTTGAAGAACCACTCTTCAAGCTCTGATATTCTTTCCTCATCTTGGTCTGTTCTGCTGTCAATACTTCTGATTGTGTTATGAAATTTATATAGTGAGTTTTTCAGTTCTATCAGCTCACTTTTGTTCTTTCTTAAAATGGCTATTTTATCTTTCATTCTCTTGAATCATTTTACTGGATTCTTTAGATTTCTTGGAATGGGTTTCAACTTCCTCTTGAATCTCGATGATCTTTGTTGCTATCCAGATTCTCAATTCTATGTCTTTCATTTCAGCCATTTCATTCTGGTTAACATCCATTACTGGGGAGCTAGTGTGGCAGTTTGAATGTATGGAGACACTTTTGATTTTAGAGTTGCCAGGGTTCTTGTGCTGGTTCTTTCACATCTGTGTGGGCTGATGTTCCTTTAACTGTGGTGTAATTTGAGCCTGGTCGGTTAGCTTCATTTCTGGATGTTTCCAGAGGGCCAAGGCTTTGTGCAAGTTCTTTTTTTGTGGCTGAATTCTAGTCCCTGGTTTCACAGAGGTCTATATTAGCGTAGTATTTTTTGGTGTTGAAATTTGGGCTCTAATCCAGTATATGGTGCTTAAGAGTAATGACCAGTAGACAGGCTCTTAGCCACTTGGTTCCTCTGTATTTCCTAGTTTTTGCATCCATGCCCCTTCTCAGTGCTAAGAGTGTAGGCTCCTCTCCTACTTGAGTGCTGGTCACAGATCTCAGCTTGGCCCTCTGGGGCTGTGCATCACAGCCCTGGAGCAAGCTAAGGCTTTTTGTTCCTTCCCCAGCTGGGGGGCAGCAGGGATGGGGACCTTGACAGTGGCAATGACAGAGGCCCTTTCACTTATCTCTTGGGGCTCCACCCAAGAGAAACTTAGAACTGCTGTCAATTAGAATGATCAGTCCAGGGTGGAGTGGCTGCATTGCAAGCCCAAGCTGCCTGGTAAAGAGCAGGGATGTCAGAGGGTTCATGGGTAAGACAGTCTGGCCTCTCCTTTCTAGGGCAGCTGGGTTATGCTGGAGGTGTGAGTAAAGAACTCAGTCTTTTTGTTCCTTCCACAGCCTGGTGGTAGGGGACCAGGTAGCACTGGTAAGGGAAGGTTCTGCTGCTACAGCAGTGGCAGAGGGGCTGTCAGTTTCCTCTGGGAACTTCATGATGGAGTGACACAAAGCCACTGCCAATGGGAATGTTCATTGTGGTGGGGTGGCTGCACTGCAAGCCCAATCTGGAGGCCCTGCCTGGTAAAGAGCATGGAGTCAAGGGCTCACAGGGAAGAGAGACTGGGCTCCTCTCCTTATGCTGGTTGCAGTGTGCTGGGGGTGTCAGCAAAGTGATCAGGGTCTTTATTCTCTTTCCAGCCCAAGGGTAGCAAGGGTAGTTCCTCTGTAGCAGCATGGCTGAGATTCTAGGTTGTCTCTGGGATTTCCTCCCCAGAGAAATGCAGAGCCACCACCAACCTAAGTGCCCAGGTTGGGACAAGGAGGCTGTTCTGTACACCCAGGTCAGGAGGCACTGCTCAGTGAGGAGTAGCAGGGACAGGGACCCCTGTGGAAGTCTGGCCACTTTTCCATAAGGCAACTGTGGTATGCTGGAGGCCTGCAAGTCTTAGACCCTTTGCTCTAACTGCAGCCTGAGGGCAGAAGGGGTGGGGGCTGCAGCAGTGTCAAAAAGGGCAGGCCTGTTGGTTACCTCTGGGATCAGCATCCCAGAGAAATGCAGAGTGGCTACTGGCCCTAGTGCCCAGGTGGAGGTGGGGTGGCTGTGTCGGGGTCCCAGGCCAGTGGGCTTTGCCCAGCAAGGTGTTGGTGAAAGTGAGGCCTGTAGTCTGTCTGCTTCTCAACACTGTGGTTGCAAGAGAGCCTGGCTTCCCTTCTTGGTGGAGCTAAGACAGCTGGTGCCATGGTGTTCAGGAATCCAAGGCCCTTGGGGTTCCTCATGGGCCTGAAAAGCGGCTCTGCCCTGACTCCATGTAGCTCTCCATGTCAGTCTGGAGGAACTGAGGGGAGGCCAGGGGGATCTCCTGTGCCCAGGGTTGCATAGGTCCATGGAAGAAGAGTGGGTCCCCAGGCACTCTTGCTCACTTAATGTTTCCCTTGGTGGATACCCTGCCTTGGGTCCACTTCCGTCCCTAGTGGGCAGCTATCCTTTCTCACTCTTCTCCACTCTCCATGGGTCTCATTACTTCCTTGATGATTCTAAACATGCCCTCCTGGATGATCTAGTTGAAGAGCTAGTGTTTACTTGCCACTCTATGTCTTCTCTCTCAGAGAAGCACACGCTAGCTACTTCTAGTGAGCCACCTTGACCCAAAATCCCTCTGTTCATTTCTGATGGACGAATGTTAAAGTCTTCAAATCTAGTTGTGAATAAATCTATTTTTCCTTGTAGTTCTATCCATTTTTGTCTCACATATTTTAATGCTGTCTTGGTAGGTACATACACATTAAGGATTTTATGTTTTCCTGGAGTATTAAATCATTTATCATTATGTAATACACCATGTATCTTTGATAACTATCCTTGCTCTGAATTCTGCTCAGTCTGAAATTTAAGATCGCTACGACCACTTATATACCTTTCTCCAACCCTTTACTTACAATCTATATTTTCTTTTTATTTAAAGCATGTTTCTTGTAGATGGCAAGTAGTTTGGTCTCGTTTCTTGATCCACTGTTATAATCTCTGTCTTTTAATTGGTATATTTAGATAACTGTTATAGTGATTGCTTAGTTGAATCAATATCTACCATGTTTGTTACTGTTTCTTATTCATTACTTTTGTTCTCTGTTGCTCTCTTTTGTCTTTCACATTTTTTTTGCCTTTTGGTTTCTAATGAAGCATTTTACATGGTTCTGTTTTCTCTTTTTATTTTTATTTTTTTTTATTATACTTTAAGTTTTAGGGTACATGTGCACAACATGCAGGTTAGTTACACATGTACACATGTGCCATGTTGGTGTGCTGCACCCAGTAACTCGTCATTTAACATTAGGTGTATCTCCAAATGCTATCCCTCCTCCCTCCCCCCACCTCACAACAGGCCCCGGTGTGTGATGTTCCCCTTCCTGTGTCCATGTGTTCTCATTGTTCAATTCCCACCTACGAGTGAGAACATGCGGTGTTTGGTTTTTTGTCCTTGCGATAGTTTGCTGAGAATGATGGTTTCCAGCTTCATCCATGTCCCTACAAAGGACATGAACTCATCAATTTTTATGGCTGCATAGTATTCCATGGTGTATATGTGCCACATTTTCTTAATCCAGTCTATCATTGTTGGACATTTGGGTTGGTTCCAAGTCTTTGCTCTTGTGAATAGTGTTGCAGTAAACATACGTGTGCATGTGTCTTTATAGCAGAATGATTTATAATCCTTTGGGTATTATACCCAGTAATGGGATTGCAGGGTCAAATTGTATTTCTAGTTCTAGCTCCCTGAGGAATCACCACACTGACTTCCACCATGGTTCTCTTATTTTTAGCATATAAATCATGCTGCTTTTAAAATTTATTTTAGTGGTTGTGCTAGAGTTGCACTGTAGATTTACAACTAATCCAAGTCTATTTTCAAATAATATACTACTTCACAAGTAGTGCCAATACCTTGTATAAAATATTTCTAATTCTTCCCTCCTGTCTCTTGTATCACATATTCATTCATTTCACTTATACATGAGCATACATAATTGAATCCAATATTGTAATTATTAACAACTGTAACCTGTTAGATCAACTCAGAATAAGAAAAATAAAGGTTTTTATTTACCTTCCCTTATTCGTTCTCAAGTGCTCTTCTTTTTTATGTAGACCAAAGTTTTTGACCAGTATCCTTTCCCTTGTCTCTGAAGAATTTTTAACATTTCTCAGAAGGCATGGCTACTGGCAACAAACAAATTCCCTCTATTTTTGTTTTCTGAGAGAGTCTATATTTCTCCTTCACTTTTGAAATATAATTTAGTAGGGTGCAGGATTTTCGGTGGGTGGATTTTTTCTCTTAACACTTTAAATATTTTAGTTCACCCCCTTCTTGCTTGCATGGTTTCTAAGAAGTCAGATACTTCTCATCTTTGCTTCTTTAAAGGTGAGATATTTTTTTCATCTGGTTTCTTTCATTTTCTGAAGTTTAAAGATGATATGCATAGACGTAGGGTTTTTTAAAGCATATCTCTTGCTTGATGTTCTTTGAGCTTCCTATACCTATAATTTAGTGTTTGACATTAATTTGGAGAAATTCTCAGTATTGTTTCAAATATTCCTTCTGGTGTTTTGTCTCTTTCTCCTCTTTCTAATATGTTATGCCTTTTGTAGTTGTCCCATAGTTCTTGGATATTCTCTTTAGAGTTTTCTTTTTTCAGTCCTTTTTTCTCTACTTTTCTGTTTTTCAAGTTTGTTTTGTAAAATCCTCAAGCTCAAAGATTCTCTCTTTAGCCATGTCTAATCTACTAATTAGCTCATCAAAGACATTCTTCATTTCTGTGACAGTGTTTTTAATCTCTAGCATTTATTTTTTATTTTTCTTATAATTTCCATTTTTCTGCTTACATTTTCCTTCTGTTTTGAATGTTGTCTTTTTTTATTAAGTTCCTTAACATATTAATCATAATGTTTTAAAACTCCTGATCCAATCATTTCAACATTTCTATTACATCTGATTTTGATTCTGATGGTTGTTCAGTTTCTTTAAACCATCTTTTGCCTTTTAATATGTCTTGTAATTTGAAAGGTGAACATGTTGTACTGAGTGAACAGAATTGTGCTAAATAGGCCATTAGTAATGTGGTAAGAAGGAATACATAGGGGAAAGGGAAGGCTCTACAGTCCTTTGGTAGATCTCAGTCTTTCAGTGAGCTTGTGCCCTTGGACTATGAACTTCATCAGTGTTTCTCATTATCCCTTCCCTCAAGTAAGACAGCATGGCTAGAAAGAGCTGAAATTGGGTATTTTCCTTCCCCAGGTGGATTAGGCTTTGATAAAACCCCAATAGGTTAGGTTCTGGTTAACCAGTTTCCCCTGAGGGAAGATCTTGTTAAGAGCAGAATGCTCTGGTATATTTCAAAATGATTATTTTCCCTCTCCTCCTACCAGAAGTATGAGAAGATTTTTCTCCAGTGTTCACTGTGAGAACCCGTGGAGCTCCTGGAGGTAAAACTCACAAAATCTGGGGGCCTTTTAAGATTGGGTCTTCCGGAATTTTAAACTCAGAGTTGTCCAGGCTGAGCTTTCAGCAATTCATTCATTGCAGTCAGATTTTCTTAACCTTCCACTGACTGGTTCTAGCAGAGGTTTCTGCTACTGGGCTTTTGCTCTGGTAAGTTGTGATTGTCTGAGTCTACCTGCTGTCTCTCCAATGTCTGAGACAGTGTATACCTTTCTCTGATGCATCTAAAGAGAGTTGTTGGTTTTTCAGTTGATCAGCTTTACTTGTTAGGACAGAATGGCAATTGCTCATTTGTAAGCCAAATGGTGACTTGCACCATCATGTTCCATTTTGTTGTTAGATGCCTGCCTTCTGCAAGGACAAACTAAGCCATTTACAAATGGGCTGGAGTTAGAGACTCCCACAGAATGTGTGTTCCTCTAGAAATTAAACATAATTAGGATGCCCCCCAAGATAAATTTCTGAGTTTTCTTCTTTATCACATTTCTTAGAAGCAAACATGGTTCTGCTTATCAAATGCAAATGTATACCTGCCTCCGTGTGCACAGTGACTTTTAGGATCCCTCTTGGAAACAGATGTTGTACATCAGTTAAGTGAACTTTATGAATGGAGAAGCAAATCACTTCTAAGCATTCATAATGCCAAAAGCTATGCATTCCTGAGAGAGAAAAATACTTAAAGTACAACCTTACCTTCATAGGAGACGTCTCTAAATGTCATCAGTAAATGAATATTGTTTCTATATTTGAATTGCAAATTTTTATCAGTGAAAGCTCTTTGACATCTTTATCTTGGAAGCATTGGAGGCTGATCTTTCTTCTTCAGTGTGTATATTTATGAATCATGAATAAAGGTAAATGTTGAAATATTTGATAATGGGTCTTTAGTGATGCCAACAGGAAACCAGTTTCAGGTTACAGATGGAAGTGGACAGTAAATGCTTTGCTTGTCATGAGAGTCTGAAACTCAGATGTACAAGAAAGAGGGACAAAATACGAGTTCCAGAGGATGTTTTGTGGATCATCCTTCTTTGTGACAGGTCCTCCCTAGTATACAGTTATCACATAGGACCAGATGCTGGTATTTGTCTACTTTCTTTCCTGATGGTTCTCCTAATTTCCTTCATGAGTATTTTATTTTAAAGCTTCGACTTGACTAGGAATGAGGTTATAGGGATTGACTCAAGTTTAAAACATTTTCTTTTCTTTTCTTTTTTTTTGAGATGGAATCTCACTCTATCGCCTAGGCTGGAGTGCAGTGGTGTGATCTTGGCTCACTGCAACCTCTGCCTCCCAGGTTCAAGCAACCCTCCAGCCTCAGCCTCCCGAGTAGCTAGGATTATAGGCACCTGCCACCACACTCGGCTAATTTTTGTGTTTTTAATAGAGACGAGGTTTCACCATACTGGTCAGGCTGGTCTTGAACTCCTGACCTCAGGTGATCCACCCGCCTCAGCCTCCCAAAGTGCTGGGATTACAGGCGTGAGCCACCACGCCCCACCAAAACTTTTTTTTTTTTTTAATTTTTGTTTTTTAGTAGAGGTGGAGTTTCACCATGTTAGCCAGGATGGTCTCAATCTCCTGAACTCGTGATCCGCCCACCTCGGCCTCCCAAAGTGCTGGGATTACAGGCGTGAGCCACCGTGCCCAGCCCAAAACATTTTCTTAATGTCACTTTCTAAAATGTTCAGAAATGCTACTTAGCAGTTAGCCATCCTAAGCAGTTTTCAATTAGGTAACAGAACTTGCGAGGACCATTCTCTGTGGATAAGTCGTAGTTTGTGGACTCTGCTGCATTTTAAGGAATTTCTTACCTGTGCCATGATTCACACTTGAAAAAAGAACTCAACAACGGCAGGCCAAAGGGATGCACTTTAGCTAAAGATTTTTTATTTCCAGAAAATTACAACTTCTTGACTAACAACTCTTTGCACCTACTGATTTAGGTTGGACAACTTGTGAAACATAGTGGTAAAAAAGGAAGTTACTTCTCTACTTCAAGGTTTCCAAGTTTCTGGCAGAAATCTAAAGAACATTTCTCTTAGCACTACCTCTGGGCAAGACACTTCTGCTAAAATGTCCTTCTTTTTCTCTGTACCTTTATGTCATTGTTAATATACTCTGTTCATCATTTCCCCTCCTCTACTCTTAGAGTATAAATCAAGATCCGTAAAATTGCTCAATAACAGGACTTAACTGCCCTGGAGGAAGAAGGGATTTTTCTTTCCTTTTTGAAATTCAGAGGGGGAAATGGTGGCATTTAAACTCCTGCCAAAAATTTTAAATTTCTAACAAAAAAATAAAATAAATACTCTTGAAAATTAATTCATATGAACCTTTATTTTCCTTCAAAATTGACTGGCTAAAATGATGGAAAAAATATATACATATATGGAGATTAAGAGAAGGTGGAAAGCTATAATTAGATAGGGTTTGAGTTTTGGCATTTCGTATTTGTAGCTGTTGGAAAGACTTTCTGTAGGACTCTCTGGTATTTGGTATCCAAGAGATACTATGGTTCATATGTTCATCCATAATCATACTAAAAAGAGCCAAGTATTGTCAGAAAAGCAGGTTTAGCTGGGTTTCTCACCGAATTGATTTACATGTGAACATGGAAAGTTCACATAGGCCACCGAAATTGAAATGGAAACTTTTATTTCAGATGAGAATCTCCTTGAACTTTTTTTGAAATGTTGATTTGCACTGTTTGCCCATATCTATGAGCTTGCAAACTTAGTCTTTTCTTTCTTTTTTTTTTTTGAGATGGAGTCTCTCTCTGTCGCCCAGGCTGGAGCACAGTGGCGCCTCCCAGGTTCATGCCATTCTCCTGCCTCAGCTTCCCGAGTAGCTGGGACCACATGGGCCCACCACCACACCCAGCCAATTTTTTGTATTTTTTTAGTAGAGACGGGGTTTCACCATGTTAGCCAGGATAGTCTCAATCTCCTGACCTCGTGATCCGCCTGCCTCGGCCTCCCAAAGTGCTGGGATTACAGGCGTGAGCCACCGTGCCCGGCCAAGTCTTTTCAAACACATATTGTCTGCCTTGAAAACATAGAACCAGTACTGTGATATATTTTTATTTTATTTTATTTATTTATGTATTTATTTATTTATTTATTTATTTATTTTTATTATACTTTAAGTTTTAGGGTACATGTGCACATTGTGCAGGTTAGTTACATATGTATACATGTGCCATGCTGGTGTGCTGCACCCACTAACTCGTCATCTAGCATTAGGTATATCTCCCAATGCTATCCCTCCCCCTCCCCCCTCCCCCCACCCCACCACAGTCCCCAGAGTGTGATATTCCCCTTCCTGTGTCCATGTGATCTCATTGTTCAATTCCCACCTATGAGTGAGAATATGCGGTGTTTGGTTTTTTGTTCTTGCGATAGTTTACTGAGAATGATGATTTCCAATTTCATCCACGTCCCTACAAAGGACATGAACTCACCATTTTTTATGGCTGCATAGTATTCCATGGTGTATATGTGCCACATTTTCTTAATCCAGTCTGTCATTGTTGGACATTTGGGTTGGTTCCAAGTCTTTGCTATTGTGAATAATGCCGCAATAAACATACGTGTGCATGTGTCTTTATAGCAGCATGATTTATAGTCATTTGGGTATATACCCAGTAATGGGATGGCTGGGTCAAATGGTATTTCTAGTTCTAGATCCCTGAGGACTCGCCACACTGACTTCCACAATGGTTGAACTAGTTTACAGTCCCACCAACAGTGTAAAATTGTTCCTATTTCTCCACATCCTCTCCAGCACCTGTTGTTTCCTGACTGTTTAATGATTGCCATTCTAACTGGTGTGAGATGGTATCTCATAGTGGTTTTGATTTGCATTTCTCTGATGGCCAGTGATGATGAGCATTTTTTCATGTGTTTTTTGGCTGCATAAATGTCTTCTTTTGAGAAGTGTCTGTTCATGTCCTTCGCCCACTTTTTGATGGGGTTGTTTGTTTTTTTCTTGTAAATTTGTTTGAGTTCATTATAGATTCTGGATATTAGCCCTTTGTCAGATGAGTAGGTTGCGAAAATTTTCTCCCATTTTGTAGGTTGCCTGTTCACTCTGATGGTAGTTTCTTTTGCTGTGCAGAAGCTCTTTAGTTTAATTAGATCCCATTTGTCAATTTTGTCTTTTGTTGCCACTGCTTTTGGTGTTTTGGACATGAAGTCCTTGCCCATGCCTATGTCCTGAATGGTAATGCCTAGGTTTTCTTCTAGGGTTTTTATGGTTTTAGGTCTAACGTTTAAATCTTTAATCCATCTTGAATTGATTTTTGTATAAGGTGTAAGGAAGGGATCCAGTTTCAGCTTCCTACATATGGCTAGCCAGTTTTCCCAGCACCATTTATTAAATAGGGAATCCTTTCCCCATTGCTTGTTTTTCTCAGGTTTGTCAAAGATCAGATAGTTGTAGGTATGCGGCATTATTTCTGAGGGCTCTGTTCTGTTCCATTGATCTATATCTCTGTTTTGGTACCAGTACCATGCTGTTTTGGTTACTGTAGCCTTGTAGTATAGTTTGAAGTCAGGTAGTGTGATGCCTCCAGCTTTGTTCTTTTGGCTTAGGATTGACTTGGCGACGCGGGCTCTTTTTTGGTTCCATATGAACTTTAAAGTAGTTTTTTCCAATTCTGTGAAGAAAGTCATTGGTAGCTTGATGGGGATGGCATTGAATCTGTAAATAACCTTGGGCAGTATGGCCATTTTCACGATATTGATTCTTCCTACCCATGAGCATGGAATGTTCTTCCATTTGTTTGTATCCTCTTTTATTTCCTTGAGCAGTGGTTTGTAGTTCTCCTTGAAGAGGTCCTTCACATCCCTTGTAAGTTGGATTCCTAGGTATTTTATTCTCTTTGAAGCAATTGTGAATGGAAGTTCACTCATGATTTGGCTCTGTGTTTGTCTGTTGTTGGTGTATAAGAATGCTTGTGATTTTTGTACATTGATTTTGTATCCTGAGACTTTGCTGAAGTTGCTTATCAGCTTAAGGAGATTTTGGGCTGAGACAATGGGGTTTTCTAGATATACAATCATGTCATCTGCAAACAGGGACAATTTGACTTCCTCCTTTCCTAATTGAATACCCTTTATTTCCTTCTCCTGCCTAATTGCCCTGGCCAGAACTTCCAACACTATGTTGAATAGGAGTGGTGAGGGAGGGCATCCCTGTCTTGTGCCAGTTTTCAAAGGGAATGCTTCCAGTTTTTGCCCATTCAATATGATATTGGCTGTGGCTTTGTCATAGATAGCTCTTATTATTTTGAAATACGTCCCATCAATACCTAATTTATTGAGAGTTTTTAGCATGAAGGGTTGTTGAATTTTGTCAAAGGCTTTTTCTGCATCTATTGAGATAATCATGTGGTTTTTGTCTTTGGCTCTGTTTATATGCTGGATTACATTAATTGATTTGCGTATATTGAACCAGCCTTGCATCCCAGGGATGAAGCCGACTTGATCATGGTGGATAAGCTTTTGGATGTGCTGCCGGATTCGGTTTGCCAGTATTTTATTGAGGATTTTTGCATCAATGTTCATCAAGGATATTGGTCTAAAATTCTCTTTTTTGGTTGTGTCTCTGCCCGGCTTTGGTATCAGAATGATGCTGGCCTCATAAAATGAGTTAGGGAGGATTCCCTCTTTTTCTATTGATTGGAATAGTTTCAGAAGGAATGGTACCAGTTCCTCCTTGTACCTCTGGTAGAATTTGGCTGTGAATCCATCTGGTCCTGGACTCTTTTTGGTTGGTAAACTATTGATTATTGCCACAATTTCAGCTCCTGTTATTGGTCTATTCAGAGATTCAACTTCTTCCTGGTTTAGTCTTGGGAGGGTGTATGTGTCGAGGAATTTATCCATTTCTTCTAGATTTTCTAGTTTATTTGCGTAGAGGTGTTTGTAGTATCCTCTGACGGTAGTTTGTATTTCTGTGGGATCGGTGGTGATATCCCCTTTATCATTTTTTATTGTGTCTATTTGATTCTTCTCTCTTTTTTTCTTTATTAGTCTTGCTAGCGGTCTATCAATTTTGTTGATCCTTTCAAAAAACCAGCTCCTGGATTCATTGATTTTTTGAAGCGTTTTTTGTGTCTCTATTTCCTTCAGTTCTGCTCTGATTTTAGTTATTTCTTGCCTTCTGCTAGCTTTTGAATGTGTTTGCTCTTGCTTTTCTAGTTCTTTTAATTGTGATGTTAGGGTGTCAATTTTGGATCTTTCCTGCTTTCTCTTGTGGGCATTTAGTGCTATAAATTTCCCTCTACACACTGCTTTGAATGCGTCCCAGAGATTCTGGTATGTTGTGTCTTTGCTCTCATTGGTTTCAAAGAACATCTTTAATTCTGCCTTCATTTCGTTATGTACCCAGTAGTCATTCAGGAGCAGGTTGTTCAGTTTCCATGTAGTTGAGTGGCTTTGAGTGAGATTCTTAATCCTGAGTTCTAGTTTGATTGCACTGTGGTCTGAGAGATAGTTTGTTATAATTTCTGTTCTTTTACATTTGCTGAGGAGAGCTTTACTTCCAAGTATGTGGTCAATTTTGGAATAGGTGTGGTGTGGTGCTGAAAAAAATGTATATTCTGTTGATTTGTGGTGGAGGGTTCTGTAGATGTCTATTAGGTCCACTTGGTGCAGAGCTGAGTTCAATTCCTGGGTATCCTTGTTGACTTTCTGTCTCGTTGATCTGTCTAATGTTGACAGTGGGGTGTTAAAGTCTCCCATTATTAATGTGTGGGAGTCTAAGTCTCTTTGTAGGTCACTCAGGACTTGCTTTATGAATCTGGGTGCTCCTGTATTGGGTGCATATATATTTAGGATAGTTAGCTCTTCTTGTTTAATTGATCTCTTTACCATTATGTAATGGCCTTGTCTCTTTTGATCTTTGCTGGTTTAAAGTCTGTTTTATCAGAGACTAGGATTGCAACCCCTGCCTTTTTTTGTTTTCCATTAGCTTGGTAGATCTTCCTCCATCCTTTTATTTTGAGCCTATGTGTGTCTCTGCACATGAGATGGGTTTCCTGAATACAGCACACTGATGGGTCTTGACTCTTTATCCAATTTGCCAGTCTGTGTCTTTTAATTGGAGAATTTAGTCCATTTACATTTAAAGTTAATATTGTTATGTGTGAATTTGATCCTGTCATTATGATGTTAGCTGGTGATTTTGCTTGTCAGTTGATGCAGTTTCTTCCTAGTCTCGATGGTCTTTACATTTTGGCATGATTTTGCAGCGGCTGGTACCGGTTGTTCCTTTCCATGTTTAGCGCTTCCTTCAGGAGCTCTTTTAGGGCAGGCCTGGTGGTGACAAAATCTCTCAGCATTTGCTTGTCTGTAAAGTATTTTATTTCTCCTTCACTTATGAAGCTTAATTTGGCTGGATATGAAATTCTGGATTGAAAATTCTTGTCTTTAAGAATGTTGAATATTGGCCCCCACTCTCTTCTGGCTTGTAGGGTTTCTGCCGAGAGATCCGCTGTTAGTCTGATGGGCTTCCCTTTGAGGGTAACCCGACCTTTCTCTCTGGCTGCCCTTAACATTTTTTCCTTCATTTCAACTTTGGTGAATCTGACAATTATGTGTCTTGGAGTTGCTCTTCTCGAGGAGTATCTTTGTGGCGTTCTCTGTGTTTCCTGAATCTGAATGTTGGCCTGCCTTGCTAGATTGGGGAAGTTCTCCTGGATAATATCCTGCAGAGTGTTTTCCAACTTGGTTCCATTCTCCCCATCACTTTCAGGTACACCAATCAGACATAGATTTGGTCTTTTCACATAGTCCCATATTTCTTGGAGGCTTTGCTCATTTCTTTTTATTCTTTTTTCTCTAAACTTCCCTTCTCGCTTCATTTCATTCATTTCATCTTCCATCGCTGATACCCTTTCTTCCAGTTGATCGCATTGGCTCCTGAGGCTTCTGCATTCTTCACGTAGTTCTCGAGCCTTGGTTTTCAGCTCCATCAGCTCCTTTAAGCACTTCTCTGTATTGGTTATTCTAGTTTTACATTCTTCTAAATTTTTTTCAAAGTTTTCAACTTCTTTGCCTTTGCTTTGAATGTCCTCCCATAGCTCAGAGTAATTTGATCATCTGAAGCCTTCTTCTCTCAGCTCGTCAAAGTCATTCTCCATCCAGCTTTGTTCCGTTGCTGGTGAGGAACTGCGTTCCGCTGGAGGAGGAGAGATGCTCTGCGTTTTAGAGTTTCCAGTTTTTCTGTTCTGTTTTTTCCCCATCTTTGTGGTTTTATCTACTTTTGGTCTTTGATGATGGTGATGTACAGATGGGTTTTCGGTGTGGATGTCCTTTCTGTTTTTTAGTTTTCCGTCTAACAGACAGGACCCTCAGCTGCAGGTCTGTTGGAATACCCTGCCGTGTGAGGTGTCAGTGTGCCCCTGCTGGGGGGTGCCTCCCAGTTAGGCTGCTCGGGGGTCAGGGGTCAGGGACCCACTTGAGGAGGCAGTCTGCCGGTTCTCAGATCTCCAGCTGCGTGCTGGGAGAACCACTGCTCTCTTCAAAGCTGTCAGGCAGGGACATTTAAGTCTGCAGAGGTTACTGCTGTCTTTTTGTTTGTCTGTGCCCTGCCCCCAGAGGTGGAGCCTGCAGTGGCAGGCAGGCCTCCTTGAGCTGTGGTGGGTTCCACCCAGTTCCAGCTTCAGGGCTGCTTTGTTTACCTAAGCAAGCCTGGGCAATGGCGGGCGCCCCTCCCCCAGCCTCACTGCCGCCTTGCAGTTTGATCTCAGACTGCTGTGCCAGTAATCAGTGAGACTCCGTGGGCGTAGGACCCTCCGAGCCAGGTGTGGGATATAATCTCGTGGTGCGCCGTTTTTTTAAGCCGGTCTGAAAAGCGCAGTATTCGGGTGGGAGTGACCCGATTTTCCAGGTGCGTCCGTCACCCCTTTCTTTGACTAGGAAAGGGAACTCCCTGACCCCTTGCGCTTCCCAGATGAGGCAATGCCTCGCCCTGCTTCGGCTCACGCACGGTGCGCGCACCCACTGGCCTGCGCCCACTGTCCGGCACTCCCTAGTGAGATGAACCCAGTACCTCAGGTGGAAATGCAGAAATCACCCGTCTTCTGCGTCGCTCACGCTGGGAGCTGTAGACCGGAGCTGTTCCTATTCGGCCATCTTGGCTCCTCCCCCGTGATATCTTTTACAACAAAGGCAGCCTAATAACTATATCATTGGCATCTTGCAGTTAGCATTTTAAAAATTATATATATATATATATATATATATATATATATATATATATATATATATTTTTTTTTTTAATGGAATCTCACTCTTGTCGCCTAGCCTGCGGTGCAGTGGCACAGTCTCGACTCACTGCAACCTCCGCCTCCCAGGTTTAAACGATTCTCTTGCCTCAGCCTTTCAAGTAGCTGGGATGACAGGCACCCGCCACCATGCCTGGCTAATTTTTGTGTTTTTAATAGAGTCTGCGTTTCACCATATTGGCCAGGCTGGTCTTGAACTCTTGACCTCAAGTGATCTGCCAGCCTAGGCCTCCCAAAGTGCTGGGATTACAGGTGTGAGCCACCATGCCCAGCCTAAAAATTGCTATAGATTATACCTCTTTCCAAAATTTTTTGGACCATTTGATTTTCCTCTTCTTGAATTACCTGTTTGGTATCTTTTGCCTGATTTTCTGTTGGTGTGTTTGCTGTTATTGTTTATTGATTTATTAAGTGTTGATTATTGATAATTCATTATTGATTGCATCATGTATTTTATCAAATTTTCATGAAGTGCAGTGACATTTTTATGCTTAATAGGACATTTCTACCATTGATATTTTCCATTTTTTTCTAATTAGACCAATTCGCCCTTGGTCATAATAGACAAGGATGAATTTCAGATAGAAACAGTGAATCTCAGATAGAGAATTGATCTTTGCAGTTCTTTGTATGTTCACTACAGTTAGGAGGTGACCTGGTTTCTTGTCCTCTTTCTGACATCACAACAATGTGACTGTGGGTGAGCTGTTATCCTCTCTGAGCTAATGTTTCTTCAAAACTGAAAGGAGTGAATAGTTTTATCACTTGCAGGATTATGAGAAGTAAAAGGGGGGAAATATATATGTAAGAAAGGACGTGATAAATAGATGTAAATGAAAGGCAAATAAAATAAGCATTGCATAAGACTTTGTAGCCAGGACAACCTGAAAGACCTGGCAGGAAAGAAGTGCTGCTAGAAGGCACAGCTAGGCCAGGTGCAGGGGCTCACACCTGTAATCCCAGCACTTTGGGAGGCCAAGGTGGGCGGATCACCGTCAGGAGATGGAGACCATCTTGGCCAACATCATGAAACCCCATCTCTACTAAAATACAAAAAATTAGCCAGGCATGGTGGTGCGTGCCTGTAGTCCCAGCTACGTGGGCGACTGAGGCAGGGGAATTGTTTGAACCCGGGAGGTGGAGATTGCCATGAGCCAAGATCACACCAATGCACTCCAGCCTAGTGACAGAGTGAGCCTCCATCTCAAAAAAAAAAAAAAAAAAAAAAAAAAAAAAAAAGCACAGCTAACTGTATGGCAAGTTATCATAGGGTCCATTATTTCGATTAAAAAAAAATACAGGAGCCTGTTGCAACTCCTGAAGACATTGTATTCCATGTAAATGTTGCCTCTGGAGTTGTGAAAATGTTCATGGTGTTTTCTGGTGGATAATGCCGTCATTTATATACAAGAATAAAGAATTCTTAATTTTCTCACTGGGAGTAGGGTCACTGACTCTCATAAAAGATGCATTCAATTCAATAGGTATTAAATCCTCCAAGCAAGCAGCAGGTTTATAAACTAAGGCTAGTGAGAAAAATAATGGATTGGACAATTGTTTTAAAAATTTGGGACAATTTTGTAATCCCAGCACTTTGGGAGGCCAAGGTGGGCAGATTACCTGAGGTCAGGAGTTCAAGACCAGCCTGGCTAACATGGTGAAACCCAGTCTCTACTAAAAACACAAAATATGCCAGGTGTGGTGGTGTGTGCCTGTAATCCCAGCTACTTCAGAGGCTGAGGCAGGAGAATTGCTTGAACCTGGGAGGTGGGGAGGTTGCAGTGAGCTGAGATCATGCCACTGCACTCCAGCCTGGGCCACAAGAGTGAAACTCTGTCTCAAAAATAAATAAATAAATAAATAAATAAATAAAAATAACTGGGACATGTTTTGGATTTAGTCAAAACAGAAACAGCTTGAAATTCTGCTATAATTTACAAGATATTAATTCTAGCTCTGTGTTTTTGTACCTAAAACATTTTGGTGATTTGATCGACCCAAATCTAGGGTCTACTTCTCCTCAGCCAAAGACCCTTCCTGGAAGTGTGAGGCAAAGATGGAAATTCAAAAGTGAGCTTTCCAAAATGTAGGTTCATGAAGATATTGATGATTTGAAAAGTCATCTCAAATTCTATCTCTTGAACCAGAACCATTTTTACTACCATGCGTCTATCTTGCCCAAAATATTTTTCTCCATAATAGTCCACTCAAAATAATCGTGATGGTTCAATAAATGACCTATACTTTATAAGTCTTTGCAAACAAAACCTTTCCAGAAAACACTTCTACTGTGTACTTTACCAAAGACTAAGAACAGCCAGGTGGCAGTAGGGACAGAGATGGGATATGCTGTTAATTCAGCCATGTTTTACAAAAGATAATTAATAATCTTGTTTGAAAAATGAGGAGGAGGAGGAGGAGGAGAGGGAACTACACAAGATCTTATTCCATATTTGGAAATTAGAGTAATCAAGGTTTGAGCCTGTAAATGACCACAGATGGTATGATTGTGTCTCACAGATGCAGTTTGAGATGCAGCTTACTGGGACAAAGGAAGGTGGTGGCCTATGTTGTCTGGCTTTGGAGAAAACTATTAAAAAATACTGAAAACTATTGAGAATCAAAGTGATTGGGGCTGAGTATGGTGGCTTATGCCTGTAATTCCAACACTTTGGAAAGCTGAGGCAGGAAGATCAGTTGAGCCCCGGCATTTGTGATCAGCCTAGGCAACATAGCAAGACCTCGTCTCTACTAAGAATTTTAAAATTAGCTGGGTAGGGTAGTATGCACCTGCAGTCTTAGCTACCCAGGAGGCTGAAGTGGGAGGATTGCTTGAGCCCAGGAGTTCACGGCTACAGTGAGCTATGATCACATCACTGCACTCCAGCCTGGGCAACAGTGAGACCCTGAATCAAAAAAAAGAAAAACAAGGTATTGGAAAATTCCCATGTATGTACCTTGTTAATCCCTCAAGAGTACCATCAAATGCAAGCTCTTTGAGAACAAATACTATTTCTTCCCTATACATATAAGCCTTAATCTAGAATTCTGCCATGTCCACTGTGGATTTTGAATTAATATCAAGGCATTTAGAAACCAAAACACTCTGAATGTTGAACTAATATCAAGGCATTTAGTAAATGAAAGATATTCATTCGCCACTTAGGAGGAAACGGGGAAAGTTTGTCATAAATCCATTGTTAACTATATGAGAAACTTGCAACAGTTACATATAGTTCAAACATTAAATATATGTAATTTAAAACATATACGTAATATATAAAACATGAAATCAGATGTTTCAGCTGCTTCTTGCTAAGTCACTTTACTACAAAATTGAAAATATAGACTGTTTTATCCACATTCCATAGATTTTCCAAAATGGCATTTTGAATTTATAATTGATGAATCAGATAAGATTTTTCTAAAGTATAACATGTTTAAACCTGGCATAAAGACACCAAAAGAGCATGTAATTTGTTTAAAATGGT